>NC_000006.12:16726666-16878181 GCF_000001405.40 Homo sapiens | reverse complement strand
GCCAAGGCAATCCTAAGCAAAAAGCTGGAGGCATCACGTTACCCAACGTCAAGCTATACTACAGGGCTACAGTAACCAAAACGGCATAGTACTGGTACAAAAACAAGCAAATAGACCAATGAAACAGAATAGAGAGCCCAGAAATAAGGCTTCACACCTACGACTGTCTGATCTTCGACAAAGCTAACAAAAAAAAAGCAATGGGGAAAGGACTCCCTTTTCAATAAATGGTGCTGGGACAACAAGCTAGCCATATGCAGAAGATTGGAGCTGGACTCCTTATTTACACCATATACAAAAATCAACTTGAGATGGATTAAAGACTTAAATGTAAAACCAAAAACTATAAAAACCCAGAAGACAACTTAGTCAATACCATCCTGGACACAGGAATGGGCAAAGATTTCATGAAAAAGACACCAAAAACAATCTGAACAAAAGCAAAAATTGACAAATGGAATCTAATTAAACTTAAGAGCTTCTGCACAGCAAAGGAGACTATCAACAGAGTAAACAGACAACCTATAGAATGGGAGGAAAAAATTGTAAACTATGTATCTGACAAAAGTTTATCTAGCATCTACAAGAAACTTGAAAAAAATTACAAGAGAAAAACAAACAACCCTATTAAAAAGTCGGCAAAGGACATGAACCAATACTTTTCAAAAGAAGACATACATGCAGCCAACAAGCATATGAAAAAGTTCAATATCACTGATCATTAAAGAAGTGAAAATCAAAACTACAATGAGATACCATCTCGCACCAGTCAGAATAACTATTACTAAAAAGTCAAACAATAACAGATGCTGGCAGATTTGCAGAGAAAAGGAACATTTATACACTGTTGGTGGGGGTGTAAATTAGTTCAACTATTGTGGAAAGCAATATGGCAATTTCTCAAAGAGCTAAAAGCAGAACTACCATTCGACCCAGCAATCCCATTACTGAGTATATGCTCAGAAGAATGTAAATCATTCTATCATAAAGATACATGCACATAAATGTTAACTGTAGCACTATTCACAATAGCAAAGACATGGAATCAACCTAAATGCCCATCAATGACAGATTGGATAAAGAAAATGTGGTGCATATACATCGTGGAATACTATGCAGCCATAAAAAAGAATGAAATCATGTCTTTTGCAGGAACATAGGTGGAGCTGGAGGCCATTATCCTAAGCAAACTAACGCAGGAACAGAAAACCAAATACCACATGCTCTCACTTATAAGTGGGAGCTAAATGATAAGAACACATGAACACAAAGAAGGGAACAACAGACATGGGTCTACTAGATGGTGAAACATGGGAGGAGGGAGAAGAGCAGAAAGGATAACTATTAGGTACTCGGCTTAATACTTGGGTGATGAGATAATCTGTACAACAAAGCCCCCATGACATGCGTTCACCTATGTAACAAACCTTCACATATACCCCCAAACCTAAAATAAAGGTTAAAAAAGAAAAATACAAAGATAAATATTATTTCATAAAAATGCATTTTTTTGTGTTTAATGGGACACCATCAAGAAAAAGGAAAAAGACAACACGCAGAATGAGAGAAAATATTTATAAATCATATATCTCATGAGAGATATATAGAATTTTTTAAAGAACTCTCACAACTCAATAATGAAAAGACAACTCAATTTAAAAATGTTCAAAGTATCTGGATAAACATTTCTCCAGAGAAGGTGTACAAATGGCCAATAAGCTCATGAAAAATGCTCAACATCATTAGTCATCAGAAAAAGGCAAATCAAAGCCACAATGAGATACCCTTCACACTCGTTAAGATGTCTAGAATCATTAGTCAGATAGTAAAAAGGAGTAAAAAGGCTGTGGAGAAACTGAACTCTCATACACTACTGACGGTCCAGGCACTTTCGAAAACAGGGTAATTGTTCTTCAAATGGTCAAACATAGAGTTACTATATGGACCAGAAACTCCTCTTTGATATATCCAAGAGAACTGAAAACATGTAAGCACAAAAACTTGCACATAAATATGCATGGCAGCATTATACATAATAGCCAAAAAGTAAAAACTTTGAATGGATAAACAAACTGGTATATCCATACAATTAGATATTATTCAGCAATAAAAAGGAATGAAATTTTAATAGATGCTACAACACAGATGAACCTTGAAAACATTATGTTAAGTGAAAGAAGCCATTCATAATATTACATGATTTCATTTACATGGAACGTGCAGCAAACCTCTAGAGATAGGAGGTAGATTAGTAATTCTACTAATTACTAATTAGTTAGCGGGAAGGAGTGGGAGTACAAGGGGAATGATGGCTAAATGTAGGGGTTTCTTTCCGAGGCGATAAAAATGGTCTGAAAGTGACTATGGTGATGGTTGCATATATTCATAAATATACTAAACCCATTGAATTGTACTTGGACACTTGCTGTGCTAGAAATAAGCACAGGATGCTCTGGGAGCTGATGAGGGGGTTAGAAAAAGCTTTGTGGAGGAGGTGATGCTTGAGCTGGATCCTAAAATATAGGTAGAAATTGGCCTCTTGGAAAGAAAGAGAGAGAGAATAGGAAATGTAAAAGGACAAAAGAAGGAGGGTGTTAATGCCAGAGAAGACAACATGAGCAAAGATGTGAGGGAAAGTAGTAGCAATGGAAATTAAGATTTCAGAGACAGGCATGGTCTGAGCATGACTGTTGTGAGACTCAAACATTCGGGAACAATTGGAATAAGGTCCTGATGTGATGCACATGAGCTTCACACTACAGGTTAGTGGCATACGAATACACCACAAACATTGCCACATGTTTGATCTTTATTTATCACTAAAGTGTGCTTTAACCAAAAAATATGCCATTGTAGCAATGCATATGGGAGAAATATTGAGCTGAGCAGTTCATGCAACATAGCATAGAGACTTGCAGAAATGGCTGCAATTTTTAAAAATTGCGTGTTTACTGAATTACACAAAACATTTCCCATACATCTATATGACAACCTGAACAGATAGAAGATAGCCCTTTTCAAACAAGAGCTATGGTGAAGGGCATTCAAAGGAAAGTCCAATGATTATGGATGCTTTTGTAAATGCTATATGGCATAATTCTGCTGCTGCTGTAGCTGTGTAGTAATTATTGATACTGGTTTTAAGCTTTTAAAGTCCTTTAAATGTGCTTCCAAAAAACAGTATTTTAAAATAAGCTATGAAAGACATAAGGTCTGGGAATGCTGCTTTGAGCTATGAGGTTTGTTCAAATAATTAAAGCTAACTGCAGCAACAGACAAATACCCATATATCAGAGACTGAATATAATAAAGGTTTATTTCTTGCTTATGTAAAATCTGATGTAATTTCCTCTTGATGCTACAACATCTGGAGTATGTGTCCTCCAGTGAAAGAGAGGAATAAAAGAGACATCAGGCTCCTAGTGGCCTTATTCCAGAAGTTTCACCTGCCATTTCTGTTCCCAGGCCATTTGCTGGGGTCTCAATGTTTATTTCCTCTCAAAATTCACATGTGGCAACTTAGTCCCCAGTGTGATAATATTAAAGGTAGGGTCTTTGGGAGCTGATTATGTCATGAGGGCTCCACCTTCATAAGTGGGAATAGTGCTCTTATACAGAGACCCATGGGATCTTGTGTGTCTTTCAACCATGTGGGCACACATAGAAGGTGCCATTCACAGCTGGACAAGGTGGCTCATGCCTGTAATCCCAGCACTCTGGGAGGCTGAGGCGGGCGGATCACGATGTCAGGAGATCAAGACCATCCTGGCTAACACAGTGAAACCCCATCTCTACTAAAAATACAAAAAAAAAAAATTATCTGGGCATGGTGGTGGGTGCCTGTAGTCCCAGCTACTCGGGAGGCTGAGGCAGGAGAATGGCATGAACCCAGGAGGCAGAGCTTGCAGTGAGCCGAGATTGTGCCACTGCACTCCAGCCTGGGTGACAAAGGGAGACTCCATCTCAAAAAAAAAAAAAAAAGAAGGTGCCATTCCCAAAGAATGAGTTCTCACCAGACAATTAATCTCCTGATAACTTGATCTTGAACTTCCCAGCTTCTGAAACTGTGAACAATACATTTCTATTGCTTATAAATCATCCACTCTGAGGTATTTTGTTACAGCATTCCGAAGAGACTAAGACACTATTGGTCAGAACTAGTCGTGTGGCCCCAATCTACTCCAAAGGGGCCTGGGAATATGTGGGAGCTCCTGGATTACTTAGTGAGCACCAGCTGTCCTTGCTAAACGTGTGGAATGAAGGGCCTGAGGTTACAGGCTGAGAGACCTCAGCCTTGGATTGGCACTAAGCCAATAACATTGGAATCATGGGGCATAGACAAGATGGGTGAATGGGGGATGATAAAAGGAAGAGGGTACACAAGAAATGCCAAGACAGCTGGCTGACAATTTTAGCTCTAAATATCCAACTCAGGAATTATCTAGACCACTGAATTTCTCCCTTCTCCCTCTAGCCATCCCTGTGAGCCCACTGGAAAATGGATTGGGTAAGGTCAAGAGGTAAAAGTGTGAAAGGATAGAGATATTTTTGTTTGTCAAAGGTCCAGTACAGGAGACAGGAATTTCTAAAAAATATGAAGGCAGAGTTCACTCACCCATCCTCCTCCTGTTTCTCACTCTTGCAAATAACTGAATAGATAAATGCACTAGATTCAGATATGTGTGTTCTTCTTGCCCCATAGTTCACTGTGATTGTCCAGCTGCATTTTCCTTCAAGGAGAGAATATAAAGTCAGAAGAGAGGGGCATTTATATAGACTAACAGTACAAAAGAAATGTTGGATGCCCAGGGTGACACTGAATAAGGAATATAAGATGACTTTATTGAGGAAAGCAGACGTTCTCATCCTGCTACAGACCTGAGCTTCTCCCTCTCCCCTTTAGAAAGCATAATATGTCAAAACTGTCCCTGATAACAGCATTGGAAAATGAGGCTGGGAAAAGGAAAAAATAGAGTGCCGCCACTGCCCATTTTAGCTCCTTTCAGAGCATAGGCTGCCTCTAAAAATTCAGCAGGACAAGAAACGGTCCTTAGGTCATCATCTCCCCCCAGCCAGGGGTTAATGCTTACTGATAGCCAACAGCTTGTTTCCTGTGGCTCCAATAAAACCCAAGTGAACTGCGGGGTTTATCTTCCCGATCATAAACCAACAGATGTAACATTTGGTAGTAATGCCCTTTTCCTTGAACTAACTGAAATTTTAGTTTCCTTTGAAAGCTTTAAAACAACACTCTGGCAATGTGAATGGAGTCATTAGCTAGAATTTGTAACAGCTCTTTTTCTACCCAAGGGATTAGAGGAGAGACTGACAGCAGTGACAGGTGACAACATGGTCCACTGGATCCTTTCTACAACTGGGACATACTCCCTAAATGTTGATTAGAAGGAAATCGATCCCTACTCCTGGCCCTGCAATTACCTGTCTCTGCCATAAGGCTGTGTGTGTCTCAAGAATAAGGACTTGGTCTTATGCAACTTTGCATCTCCATTATTTGTCACTGTTGGAAACACTGTGGATGACAGAATGTATTATATCTCTGGTCCGGGGCTGTGAGATGCACAGTACATTTTGTTAAATTAATGGATGATGTCAGATCAGAAGTCTAAGACATAGTCCCTGTATCCCAGGACATAAAAACATCATCAGTGATGGTCAGACACAATGGCTCACGCCTGTAATCCCAGCATTTTGAGAGGCCAAGGTGGGAGGATTGTTTGCAGCCAGTAGTTTGAGACCAACCTGGGTAACATACTGAGACTCCTTGTCTACAAAAAATTTTTAAAATTAGCCAGGTGTGGTGGTGTGCCTGTAGTCCCAGCTACTGAGGAGGCTCAGGTGGGAGGATCACTTGAGCCCAGGAGTTCAGGGCTGCAGTGAGCCATGATCACACCCAACCTGAGCAACAGGGGAAGACTCTCTCTCTAAAATATATATATAGTGGCAGTGAGACAAGACTACCACACATGTAATTAAACTATAACATAGGAGAGACTTACTAGATACTTTATAGCTAATTAAATACTAAATAAAAGAAATTCAGAGAAAGGAGAGATAACTGCAGGCTGCAGTGATTAAAGAAAATATAAAGTTTAACTAGAACACAAGTAACACCTTGGGGAAAAGAAGGATGGTATACCAGGTGAGAGAATAGCACCAGGGGAGTAACGGAGAAAAGGCGATGGAAATTCACATGGGGAATATAGGAAGATGGAAGAACAGTTAGAAATCGTGTTGGAGGAATACAGTTGGATGAAACCATGGAAGGCCTTTGGAGCATATTGCAGAAAAAAGAAACCTCTTGAGGCTCATGAACAATGAAAATTATAAAAATTATAAAACTAATGTTCAGTATTAAAAGTCTTTGAAGAATGGAAAAGCAAAAGATATTTTCCTCCCTAGATCTCTGGCACTATCTGCAGCTGTTCCTTGACTCATATATTATTATCCAGTGCTGGTAATTCTCTGCACACATTGTGCTATTTCCTACCTCCATGTCATTGCTAAAACTGTCCCCTCTGCCTGGAAGACCCTTCTACACACACACACACACACACACACACACTCAGAAGCATTTCTCCCACTTTCTTCTCTTATTTATTTATTTATTTTTGAGACAGAGTCTTCCTGTGTCACAAAGCTGGAGTGCAGTGGCGCGATCTCAGTTCACTGCAATCTCCGCATCCCGAGTTCAAGCAATTCTCCTGCCTCAGCCTCCTGAGTAGCTGGGACTACAGGCATGCACCACCACACCCGGCTAATGTTTGTATTTTTAGTAGAGGTGGGGTTTCACCATGTTGGCCGGAATGGTCTCAATCTCTTGACCTCGTGATCTGCCCACATTGTCCTCCCAAAGTCTTGCTGATCTTTAAGATTTTGCTCATTCATCCATTTGCTAATTCAGTAGACAATTTTTTGCTGACTGTGCTGGGCATCAAATACTCTGCTAAGAGAAGGGATACAGTATGAACTAAGCAGGCGAGATCCCTGTCTGCACAGAACTGACTGTGGTGGAGGGAGCCAACCTAACAATAGTGTACATCAGTAAACAAGGTGATGGCAGGTGTGTAATAAGTGCCGTAAAGACAGTAAGTGGAGGATGTTGTGTGGATTAATGGGCTGTATGAGGGAATTCACACAATGCACAAATGTCTCCTTGCCCTTTTCCTCAGCACATTGCTAGACTACATTTCCTAGCCTCTTTTTGCATCTTCATCCCAATGGAATGTTGGCAGAAGTGATATACACCATTTCTAGATCAAACTTTTATATACATGGGCATGTGAGATGTCGGCAACAAGAAAGCCCAAGGAGAAGGCAGGACCACAGGAGGGAGCCTTGAATCCTTGCATCAAGAGAGTCACTTGCCAACCAGGAACACCCACCATGGCTATTCTGAGTGACAAATGAACCTCATTGTCCTTAAGGCATTGTGCACCATAGCTTAACCTACCCTAATTAACATAGGGTGCTTTAGCTAGGGTGGTTGGGAGAGGCCTCTCCCAGAAAACAGCACTGAATGCAAATAAAGAATGAGGGAGGCAGCCAAGCCACGAACAGGAGTACTCCTGGCAGAGGGGACAGTAGCAGTAAAGGCTCTACACCAGGAAAGGATATGGCATGTGAGAAGAACAAAAGAAGCAGTCTGTGCAGCCACAGCATAGTGGAGAGTGGAATTAGGTAAGGCTGAAGAAGTAGACAGGGGCCAGATCATTCCTAGCCACCATCTCAAGCTTTCATGATCCCTGACAGTTCAGCATGGTGACCACTATCGGAGCTCTCATAATAACCTGAGGCTACTTCTATTATTACCTTTTCATCATTTTATAATTATCTATTTTTTTATTTTTATTTATGAGATGGAGTCTCACTCTGCCACCCAAGTTGGAGTGTAGTGGTTCAACCTCGGCTCACTGCAACCTTCACCTCCTGTGTTCAAGTGATTTTCATGCCTCAGCCTCCTGAGTAGCTAGGATTACAGATGTGTGCCACCGTGCCCAGCTAATTTTTGTATTTTTAGTAGAGATGGGGTTTCACCATGTTGGCCAGGCTGGTCTTGAACTCCTGACCTCAGGTGATCTGCCTGCCTTGGCCTCCGAAAGTGCTGGGACTACAGGTGTGAGCCACCGCGCCTGGCTATAATCACCTATTTATGGATGATGAGCTTTCTGAAAAATCAAGCCATCCATCTTTGAATCTCTAGCATGCATGTCAACATATACAAGTGGTTAATAAATGTTTCTGGTATAAATGGATGAAATAAATGGTGGCGTTGCAGGTCCCCAGGTGACAATGGCTGGCTCTAGCATGATGATACTTGTGATAGGGAGCAAAGAAGGATGCTAAGAGACAGCTCATCTCCACAAACACTGCGATTTTGATTTTTTCCAGTGTGATTTGACCTCCTTTCAGGAGGTCCTTCGCTCCTCCCACCCACCCCTCCTTCAGATTCCTTCTAAGGATGACCCATTTTTAACTAAGATTTCTTCCAGATAACAGGTGGTTGAGAGCCTTCATTAAAGAGGAAGGTTTCCCCTTCAATGAAAATGACTGGAAACTGTGAAAAGACATAGTTTGAAGCTGAAGGCCCCCTGCCAATACAATGACCCAGTTAGGAACCAAAACAAAGAATAGATAAGTCAGGGGAATAAAAGTCTCCCTATCACTCCCCCAACCCCATCTTCAACTCACTGCAGTGGTTTCTAGGAAGTTTTAAACTTGAGGAGCTAATTTCATTCCCTAGAATTGGAAAATGCCATCCCCTACCTCTGAAGTTTTTCCCAGAGAAGTGAAGATGTAATTTTATTCACTCGAATGATGTGAGTTTTTATTCTCAGCTCTCAGAGGCAGACTTCCCTCCCTTATCTCATTTCCCTCTCCCCCATTCATCCTGGAAAAGACACCAAGCCTGCTGGTCCCCAAAGTTAAAACAACTCAGCAATGACTCACCACCTATTAATTTTGGGGTAGGGTGGATGCTGGAAGGTACAACAGAGCGCTGGTATAGTGGGGAAAAGCAAATTATGTTCTTAAGGAAGCAGTGTTTACATATTTCTTCTGAATTATTCCCTAGTGGCAAAGGAGAGTGAAGGAATACCTCTTAAGTTCTGAGGTCAGAGCTTGAAGCAGGCAGAGGCAGGCATATAATTTTTAGAAGTTCCTTGTTTTATCTTTAAAATCGTTGCAGCTATTTTTTATCACACACACACACACACACACACACACTCCATGTTTGCATTAAAATAAAAAATAATTCTCTCTACCAAATCTTTGAGTAAAATCAACAAGACAAGCACCATCAAGTTTATTCCATGGCTTCAGGTACTAATATCTCCCAAAGACCATCGTTAGCCCCCAAGAGCATGAGTACGCCTATGCTCTCAAGCTTTAGAGGCTTGTTCCCAGGGCATCCATTCCTGCAGATTCCAGATAGTCACATGTAGGGGCTGAGGTTATCTACCATGAGTTTGGATGAGACAGTATGAGAGTGGATTTCCAATCATCCATCTTTCAACCCAATCTTGACTGAGCATTTTTAGAAGGCTGTCGGGAAAGACAAGGAGATGGAGGAGGACAGAATTTAACATTATGCCACTGTTTATGGCCGTTGGTGGTTAAGCAACAATTTATAAAGGTGTTGTGGTTTATTTCCTTATGATCAATGAGTAGGTAAGAGATGAAGGCAGTGCATCTGAAAAGGTTGACAGAGGTTGTTCACAGTGGCTCTTAGCTCTCTTTGCTCCAGTTTCTTGCGGGTCTCATTCATTTCCTTCATCCTACTCCCATGTTTATTTTCTCCTTCTTGCCTTCAGCACTGCCGATTGGGAGATGACTAGTTGCTCTTACCTCTATTGACATTTCTGGCTGTGACAGACCACAAGATAATTTTGGCTTTGGATATTTTTTTTTCCAGCTAAAACATGATTTTGTTTTTCTGTTGCTCTAGCAAATTGCCATTTTCATTGCAAAAAAAATTATTCAATCAATATTTTTGCTGTATTGTCAATCCATTAAGGAAACAAAATCCCTATGGCTAGTAGTAGGACTGTATACCATAAAAATAATTTGAGGTAGGGAAAATGGGGCTGAAAATTTTTTTTCCTCTGTCTTGGCCCTATAGAGGCACCATCATTTTTTTTTTCTTCTTCTTTTTAAGAGATAGAGTCTCGCCCAGGCTGGAGTGCAGTGGTACAATCATGGCTCACTGCAGTCTCAACCTCCTTGGCTCAAGCAATCCTCCTACCTCAGCGTCCTGGAGCTGGGACTACAGGCTTAAGCCACCACGCCCAGCTACTTTTTGTATTTCTTGTACAGACGGGGTTTCACCACGTTGCCCAGGCTGGGCTCAAACTCCTGGGCTCAAGCGATCTGCCTGCTTCCACCTCCCAAAGTGGTGGGATTACAGGTGTGAGCCACTGCTCCCAGACCATCATTCATTTTTGATGAAAGAAAGAGGAGGAGAAAGAGGAAGAGGATTAAAAGAGCAAAGAAGAGGAAACACATTAAGAAAAAAGAAATGGAAAGAGCTGTAGTCAGGGCACATAGGCATTGGGAGGAAATAATATTCTAATTGGTTGGTGTCCATGCTATACTGATAATTAAATATTTAATAGATAATAGGGGGAGAACAGTTTTCCTCCATGTGGAAAGAGTGAAACCAACTCTCAATCCTCTAAAGGCTTTTCTCATTTCCTGTCAATCTCTTTTCCTAACCGTAAAGTCAGGAGTCTCACATATGAATAGTATGGATAATTCCTGCCCATTGTTGGGGGTTTTGCATCTAATTGAGTGCCAACATTCAAATTTTTTTTTTTTTTTTTTTTTTTTTTTTTTTGAGATGGAGTCTCGCTCTGTCACCCAGGCTGGAGTGCAGTGGCAGGATCTCGGATTACTGCAACCTCTGCCTCCCGGGTTCAAGCGATTCTCCTGCCTCAGCCTCCAAAGTAGCTGAGACTACAGGCACCCACCACCACACCCAGCTAATTTTTTGTATTTTCAGTAGAGATGGGGTTTCGCCATGTTAGCCAGGATGGTCTCGATCTCCTGACCTCGTGATCCGCCTACCTCGGCCTCCCAAAGTGCTAGGATTACAGGCGTGAGCCACCGTGCCCGGCCCTCACAATATTCTTAATCTACTAGAAAGATGTCTTCCCACTGATAAATTTAGTATTTTCTTTTTTCTTTTGATTATTAAATCAAAAGATTAAATCCCTCCTGTATTTTTACCTTAAGGTCTGCCAACCTGTCAACTCTCAACCCCAAGTGTAAGAATTTTTCTTTGCTGGGAAACACTATGGGTTTCCTCTATGCCCCATGCAGCCACAAGTGCTGAGGATAATGTTCTTTTATATCATTAAATAACAGCAAAAGTGCTTTTTATTTCTCAATAAAATCAATTTTATCCTGAGATCCACTACTCAACAATTCTCTATTTTGTTCCCACTTTCAATGTGGAAAGACAGAAGTTCCTACAGGTTGTAGACTTCTGGTGAGCTAAATAACATAATTATCAGTCCAATATCAAGCTGCCAAAGTGCTTGACCAAATCTCAGTGTTCCGAGAAAGCCTGCTTTATTTTTAAACAAATTGCTTTGAAACTCCATAACAATAGTATTCATTTCTGATTTATCTTTATGTCTTTGTAGCAGAAAGTGAAGATTCTAACACACTGTAGTTATGTAATATATTTCTGATGAATGCAAGAGTAAAAATCAGTACAAGAAAACATCAGCTTTGTCATATTGTCACAAAATAATAGTCAATGCTATTTCCGATTGAATTAAAGGGATTGTGAAAAAAGAGTGCTCTACACTTTCGACCTCAAAGCTTGAGGATGTGCCTCAAAAACATTCTGTAGGAAGCTGTAGGTTCTCTTAGAAACCTATTATGGTTTTGTCTTTAATGAATCCAACTAAATCTTTAACACTCATATTTTATCCTGTATCTTTCCTTTGTGAAAGAAGCTGTTGCCATCATTTTAGGCAAAAGAAAGAAAGAAAAGGGTTCTTTAATACTCTAGGATAAGAAGGAAAAAAAGAAGAAAAGGGCAGAGGATGAAGAAAGCAATGGAAAACTACAAGATGATACCCAGGTTCACTTTTCAAATGCAGCTTTCAGGAAGCTTTAATGGGTTCTCCAGAAGACCTATGTCTTAAAAGAGGTGGGTGACATGAGCTTAGCTTCAAGAGCGCTCACTGGGGGCCGGGCGCGGTGGCTCACGCCTGTAATCCCAGCACTTTGGGAGACCGAGGCCGGTGGATCATGAGGTCAGGAGATTGAGACCATCCTGGCTAACACGGTGAAACCCTGTTTCTACTAAAAATACAAAAAAATTAACCAGGCGTGGTGGCGGGTGCCTGTAGTCCCAGCTACTCGGGAGGCTGAGGTGGGAGAATGGCGTGAACCCGGGAGACGAAGCTTGCAGTGAGCCGAGATAGCACGACTGCACTCCAGCCTGGGCGACAGAGCGAGACTCCGTCTCAAAAAAAAAAAAAAAAAAAAAAAAAAAAGAGTGCTCACTGGGGACCTTGCTGTGAGCAAGATAGTGGTCAGTGACACAGATGCCACAATATTACAAGGCCCCACATCGGCACTCTACAAGGTCAGCGATTTCCAGCTGACCAGGTGGTGAGGGATTCTGTGAAGGAAGAAGTGAAGAAGCATTTCTTAACCATTTTCTTAATACCAGGCACTTTCTGGATATTTTGCATATGCTGTCAGGTTAGTGCTCACAACAGTATGAGGCATTATCCCCAATTTGCAGGTGTGGAAATTGAGGCTCAGAGTGCAGATAACTTGCCCAAGGTCACATAATGTGTAACAAATTCAAACTCAAATCTATTTAATCCCCAAGTTTGTGTTTTTTCCTATCACATTTGGCTTTGTCCCACAGCAACCTTTGATGCAGAGAAAAAACTGTAAGGAACTCAAGAGAAAAATCACAGGGGGCTCTCCAACTGGAAGCTGGCCCTGCATAGCACCCTGGTGAGAACTATCACTCATAGGAGACACAAACTGTGGAAAGTCCTTCATGTTGGTCACTGCTGTGGGCAAAGATCGGGAGCACCCACAGACCCTGGGAGCCCCTCTAGAAGCAGGTTAAGGATGCTTTGCTGCTCAGAGACCTCCCTACACTCTGAAGCCTTTAAAAATGTGGGAAGGAAGGTCAGTAACCACAGTTTTCTTGCTATCTTCTTCAGAGAAGGTGCAAAGCAGAGAGGTCAAGAATTTCCCCTCAGGAAACTCATAAGCAAAGAGTCAGAAGCTGTAATTTTAAGCTGGGGCTAATTACAAAGCCCTCACAAAAGTACTCTACCCCTCAAATTCTCGAATAGAGGAAAATGCGAAAACTCTTTGCTGTTTGTCCTAAACTTTCCTATTTTGAGCTTCAAGAATGGTTCTTAGGGAAAGAAAGATAAACAATGGTCCATGTTTACTTTCTCCACATAAACCATATTTCTCCTTGACTTCATCTGTTCAGACCAAAAAATCCTGATCATTTTAGTCAAGTCTCATAGAGAAGCATGAAGACCACCCTTCTTGCTTAGTCCCCATTTCTTTAACCTATCAGTTAGTTTAGTTGCACTGGACATGGTAGAATTATTGAAGATGTTAAGCTCCATAACATCAGGAACCATGACTCCATGTTCTATTTCTAATGCCTATAATCATGCCTGACACATAAGTTCTTTCTCCAGGACTGTTGAATTTGATTGAGTTGTTTATTGAAATTATAGAGCTGAAGAAAATTATAGAGCTGTATGGATGATATAACTCAATCCTCAAGAAAGCAAGGTGGACTTTCCATGGATAGGCAAGTCGTGAGTGGCAGAACCAGGGCAGGAAGCCAAGTCTGGCCTATTGCTTTATGCCACAGAGCCTAAAGATTGAAGCAGGCTCAATATTATTAAATTGACTCTCTCTTAATAAGTTGATTCTAGCTTTTAGAATTGTCTATGATCAGATGTGATTTGTAGACTAGCTTGCTAATGATGCAATGGCCCCTAAGTGTTAAACTTGGCAATAGTTAAGGTGTTATATCAGATAAGATGCTTTTGGCTGCAAGTGAGAGAAAATCCAAATCAACTGATTTAGACAATAAAGAATTGTATTGCCTTGCATAAATAAAGGTCTAGAGGTAGGTCAGTTATTACATATGACTTCTCCTTATTATCCCATGGCCCTGCCCTCTTCCTTGTTCTTTATTCTCAAGCTGCCAGAGAAATGCCACAATATGTTACTACAAGGCCACACATCAGCACCCTATGAGGCCCACATGAAAGGAAGAGCATCTCTCCTTGTGCCTCTCCGTTGAGGGCAAGGAAACATACCTGAAACCCTTAAAAAACTTCCCTTGTATCTTTTGGCTGAATTGCATCATGAAACTATTCCTGACAAATGGCCCTGTCCAAGTGAATGCTGTGCATTGACTGGCTTAACTCTGGGTTCCTGTGTCAATCACTGGTCAGCAGCATGGGGTTACCATGATCAGCTTAGACCAATTAGGGTTCATCCCTGGAGGTGGAGATCAATATGTTGAACAATGGCAAAGGGATGGTGTGAATGTTGATGGGACAATCTCAGAAGCCACTACAGTTACATAAGAAGAATATTTGCTTTATTAGCAAATCATTTAGGAAGATCCATCTACGAAGAGAGGCTTCATTATACCCGAGGAAGCCTAGATTATGAACAGTGTCCTTTGCCTGATTCCACACCTCTGAATTCCTCTTCTTCCCACAGCCCTACTTCCCATCTTGACCACCCCCAAACCCAAACTCTGCCCTGTCTTCACTTCCCAAGAACAGTCCTTGCTTGTGTGGCAAGACTTAAGTCTCCTGGTAAACAGTCTGGTGTTTAGCATCGCATGACCTTTGCTTCCACTCTCATCTTGCATTTGTTGCTGTTTTTATAACTGGTTTCTCCACTGTTCCTAGCTCCTAATTTCCTGTTGTGGGAAACTGCCTAGTACTATACTTGCCCCAGGACTGTAGCTCTTTGCTTCTTCCTTACCCAGGAACAATAGCCATGGCCATGAACCCCCTCTTGGGGGCTGCAAGCCTATTTCCATCTGATGCCCTTCATCCATGTCAGCTGCTTGTCTGCTCTGCCCTGTTTGTCTGCATCTCTTGCTCTGAATTCTTCACACTGCGCTCGTCACTCATTAGGATGCTTTGCCATCCTGGACTCCCTGCCCCAATCACTCCCCTTGATGGTGAGCCACAATTTCCACAATTTCCAGCCCTCCTCTCTGCCTTCCCTTGGAGACCCAAGGCTAGCTCTTCTCCTATTAAACTCCTACCAGTTCTATCATATAGTTTGTAAAGTGTCATGCCCCATTCCTAACAGGATCATCTATTCATTAGCAGATTATTTCTGAAGACATCTCCTCATCAGAAAAAGTAAAATCGTCTTCCTAGTCAGGACAAGGTTTCTGTAGAATCACAAAGCTCAGAGAGACCTTACAAAATGGCTTAGTTCAAATTTCTAAACTTCCATAATACTTGGTTTTACCATTCTATGTTTTTTAGTGTCTGTCCTCTCTCCTTATCGTCCATGACTGTGCATTCCAAGAGAACAAGGGCTTTATCATATATATTCTCTATTTGGAATGGTGTCTTGAACATACCTCTAAATGTTGGTGGACTGAATGAACTAGATAATCAGACTCAAGTCCAGGGTCAATTAGTATCTTCAGTTGACCTTGGACTTGAGTACTACTCAGTGGTAAAGTGGGGACTGGAACTCAGGTTTTCCTATTTCTTGGGTTTTCTGTATTGCAAAAGAAAATATATAGGGAATAATTGGCTTTGCAATAGTAATATGTATTTTATTATAATACCTTCCCTCAAAGCACAATAAAGGATTTTGCAGATGATTTCTCTTTTACCATTCACATTCCAGTAGGGGAGAAATTGTTAAAGAAAAAAAGGTTTATTTATTTTTGTTTTTTTTTTTTTTTTTTTTTTAATGGTTGTCATTTTACTTTCTTGTTGTTATCATTTGTTTTTTTTTTTTTTTTTTTGACTTCTCCATTCTTTTTTTTTTTTTTTTCTTTTTTAATTATTATTATTATTATACTTTAAGTTTTAGGGTACATGTGCACATTGTGCAGGTTAGTTACATATGTATACATGTGCCATGCTGGTGCGCTGCACCCACTAACGTGTCATCTAGCATTAGGTATATCTCCCAATGCTATCCCTCCCCGCTCCCCCGACCCCACCACAGTCCCCAGAGTGTGATATTCCCCTTCCTGTGTCCATGTGATCTCATTGTTCAATTCCCACCTATGAGTGAGAATATGCGGTGTTTGGTTTTTTGTTCTTGCGATAGTTTACTGAGAATGATGGTTTCCAATTTCATCCATGTCCCTACAAAGGACATGAACTCATCATTTTTTATGGCTGCATAGTATTCCATGGTGTATATGTGCCACATTTTCTTAATCCAGTCTATCATTGTTGGACATTTGGGTTGGTTCCAAGTCTTTGCTATTGTGAATAGTGCTGCCATAAACATACGTGTGCATGTGTCTTTATAGCAGCATGATTTATAGTCCTTTGGGTATATACCCAGTAATGGGATGGCTGGGTCAAATGGTATTTCTAGTTCTAGATCCCTGAGGAATCGCCACACTGAATTCCACAATGGTTGAACTAGTTTACAGTCCCACCAACAGTGTAAAAGTGTTCCTATTTCTCCACATCCTCTCCAGCACCTGTTGTTTCCTGACTTTTTAATGATTGCCATTCTAACTGGTGTGAGATGATATCTCATAGTGGTTTTGATTTGCATTTCTCTGACGGCCAGTGATGATGAGCATTTCTTCATGTGTTTTTTGGCTGCATAAATGTCTTCTTTTGAGAAGTGTCTGTTCATGTCCTTCGCCCACTTTTTGATGGGGTTGTTTGTTTTTTTCTTGTAAATTTGTTTGAGTTCATTGTAGATTCTGGATATTAGCCCTTTGTCAGATGAGTAGGTTGCGAAAATTTTCTCCCATGTTGTAGGTTGCCTGTTCACTCTGATGGTAGTTTCTTTTGCTGTGCAGAAGCTCTTTAGTTTAATTAGATCCCATTTGTCAATTTTGGCTTTTGTTGCCATTGCTTTTGGTGTTTTGGACATGAAGTCCTTGCCCACGCCTATGTCCTGAATGGTAATGCCTAGGTTTTCTTCTAGGGTTTTTATGGTTTTAGGTCTAACGTTTAAATCTTTAATCCATCTTGAATTGATTTTTGTATAAGGTGTAAGGAAGGGATCCAGTTTCAGCTTTCTACATATGGCTAGCCAGTTTTCCCAGCACCATTTATTAAATAGGGAATCCTTTCCCCATTGCTTGTTTTTCTCAGGTTTGTCAAAGATCAGATAGTTGTAGATATGCGGCATTATTTCTGAGGGCTCTGTTCTGTTCCATTGATCTATATCTCTGTTTTGGTACCAGTACCATGCTGTTTTGGTTACTGTAGCCTTGTAGTATAGTTTGAAGTCAGGTAGTGTGATGCCTCCAGCTTTGTTCTTTTGGCTTAGGATTGACTTGGCGATGCGGGCTCTTTTTTGGTTCCACTCCTTAAGCTGATAAGCAACTTCAGCAAAGTCTCAGGATACAAAATCAATGTACAAAAATCACAAGCATTCTTATACACCAACAACAGACAAACAGAGAGCCAAATCATGAGTGAACTCCCATTCACAATTGCTTCAAAGAGAATAAAATACCTAGGAATCCAACTTACAAGGGATGTGAAGGACCTCTTCAAGGAGAACTACAAACCACTGCTCAAGGAAATAAAAGAGGACACAAACAAATGGAAGAACATTCCATGCTCATGGGTAGGAAGAATCAATATCGTGAAAATGGCCATACTGCCCAAGGTAATTTACAGATTCAATGCCATCCCCATCAAGCTACCAATGACTTTCTTCACAGAATTAGGTTTATTTATTTTTGAAGGCTTACTGAGGTAAAGAATAGTGAAGTCACCTCATCACATGGCTACGTTCAGTTTCACATTCTCATTTGCTTTTCAGACCAATAGTTAAATTTCCTGATTCCCACTCCAAGGCAAAGAAAGTGCTGCTAGCTTTGTCAACAACAAATAAAACATGGTTAACTACTTTGCAGGCGGTTCACATGTTCATCTTTCAGCGTCTATTATGAATCTATTATGAATCAAGCTATACTTGGCATATCTGTGAAAGAGTGTGTGAAGCTTTCTTGCAGAACAAAAAAACAATAACACCCATATTCATGAATTGTGATATTCTGGGATAACCATATGCGACTAGTGTGTCTTCAAAATATTTTATTCTGTTGATACATAAAAGGTTTGAAAATGTTGTTTTCTCGGCCTCTGATGTTCAAGGAGTCTAAAGAGCTGGCAGCCCTGAATTTTTTTCTTATTCACATGCAAAAGTTATATCTGAAACACCCTTCCAATAGAACATGTTGATCATGTCTTCAAGAGCAAAAATGTGTACCCTGCTTTTTAGGGCCACAAAAGGCATTGGTCCTTAACAGAAAGTAGTTGCTAAGCTATTATAAACGCACAGGGCCTTACTAGTGCCCAGTGAGTGAACTTTCTTAATAGTAACCATGGGATTGAAGGGGATTATTTTGCCTCTGACCTGGGCCTGGCATGGCAACATGAGGACATCTTGTGTCTTAGAGAGAAGATGTAGAGCTGATATTTTATTTATGAATGAATACCCTATCTAGTTACAGAAAGGATTGAAAGCAACTTATATAGAGACTTGTAATACAAGAAGAGGAAAAAGAAAACAGGTAAAATAAGTGAGAAAAATGAAGCCAAAAGAAAATGAAGGCGGTACATAAAGTTTATATAGAACTCAATATGTAAAGGCTTAAGCCAGTGCTGGAATTACTCCCCTAAGGAACACTCATGGGCATGTATTACTTTTGGAGAACCAAGTGTATACAAATCCAAACTTTTAAGCCAAAGACCATACAAGGCTAATATTTACATTTCAAAAATATTTTTCAAACACTTTATCACTATATTTTGTAAAATGGTGAGGTTTTTTTCTGTTAAAATGGATTCATGTTATTATAGACAAAACTTTTGATTCTCTATGTATGGCACTTTATTCTGCTGTAGGATAGGCTAAATAATTTCCATTGCATACGATGTGAGCGCACAGCAACCATTGCAAGGTATAGCACCAAGAACTATTTGGAGATACTTAATAGTATCCAAAAACTTGGATCAATGGAGAACAGCTCCTCTCCAATTAGGCCAGGATTCTATGCACTTGTTTAACTTCAGAGGTATAGGCTGGCTCTCAAGGAAGGGAATCACACATCTGTTCAGTTCTAATCCTAGCTTTTTCCTGATCTTCATCCTATTAAAAACTCCTCTTATGACGCTTACTTGTCACCTCTTTGATAAGAGACCTGTTTCACCTGATAGTACCTAGCTCAGCACCTTGAATACAGTAGGTATCTAAAATATTTCCCGAATTTTGCTTGGAGAAAGAAATGAAATTCATGACCTCTGAATCCACAGTTCTTATAAGTTAGAGTGAGATTCAGAATTTTCCTCATATTTTAGCCCAGTAATAAGGTCACTTCAGATCCCCGCCCGATGCTGTTAGGACTCAGGCCCCAGGCAGCTCAGCAGTGACTTTAAAGGACAAGAGTTAGGTTGACAGGACAGGGGGATGGGGCAAGAGAGAGAGACAGTTCCTGGGTGAGAATGAGGTGACACAGCTGGTCCTGAGATAAAAAAGATATGAGAGTCAGATACGCACAATAAACTCTAGTCACTGCCGTGGCCAAGGATGGTGTCATGGCAAGTAGGAGGACTGCCCTTTGACCTTCCCATAATTATCTCTCAAGCAGCGATGCTCTGGTGTTGGTTTCCTTCCTTCCTTCCTTCCTTCCTTCCTTCCTTCCTTCCTTCCTTCCTTCCTCCCTCCCTCCCTCCCTCCCTCTCTTTTTCTTTCTTTTCCTTTCTTTCTTTCTTTCCTTCTCTTTCCCTCTCTCTTCTTTCTTTTTCTCTTTCTTCCTTTCTTTCCTCTCTTTCTTTTTTTTGCCTTTCAAGACTGCCTTTGACATTCATCTAATCATAAATGTTAGAGTTGTTGTCAAAAAGTGATTAAACAATCCCTCACTGAGAAGTTCCCAGGATAGTTCTGAATACTGAAACCTAAGGGCACCCCTGTTCTTCTTTACTGTTTTCATCATATTATTTGCCAGTTTTTTCTTTGACCCTATGAGTGTGTGAGTGTGTGTGTGTATGTGTGTGTATGTGTGGTGAAAAGCAACCTATTTCAACTAAAATAAATCTTCTGTTTTGCATTTGTACAAAATCAAAATAGATTCTAAATTTGAGAGTCATGCCTTTAAAACTGCTCTGGGCTATTCTTCAAAGGTAGTTCTTACAACATATTGAAAATAATGTGGTCAAGTTAAAGGAAAACACTACAATTTTGCTTTTAAAATAACCAGCATGGTGTCGATCCACTTTTTGGTTTTCACATAAAACTCTTAGATTATTAAATGCCCCCACAAAAAAAAAATCTGTGCCTTTAAATTTTTTCTTGTTTAAAGTTTGTTTTTTTGTAATTTATTTTTGCATTTATTGTTGGATAATGATGTACTACAGAAACTATAAAACACAAGCTGTCTCTTATTTTGTTTGGTGATAAATTGCTCAATTAAAAACAGGTTATGTTGCATGCCCTTGGCAACCTGAGCTGAGACTGTATTGTTCAGAATAGTACATGTCACTCTAAATAATTTCATATGCATCTGTTTTATTAGTAGGTGCTAATTAAACATGCATTTTGTGGAGTGACTTTACATAAGATCATTTTGCAGTTTCCTGTATTATTTATGTAACACCTAGGGATCCGTGGGTCATGAATCCTACTATAAAATTTTCCTCTTAAAATCATTAATGGAAAGTGAAGCCCCTTTCTAATAGTGTTTTTCTAGACATGGTTGGAAAATATTCTAGTGCAAATTTAAAAGCAACAAAAAGGTATTACTAATATGCAGCATGTTATGTATTTCTCAGATTTATAAGCTAATGCAAATGCTCATTATAAAAATTAATGCCATCTTTTAATTGGTCTCCACACATTCCTCTGGAAATCCATCCAGTCTGTGCAAATGATAGTCAGATGAAGATGGCTGATGGTGAGTTTCTCTGGTGGCTAGGGGCTGTGGCCTTACCCAAGTGCTCTGTAGGGCCAATAGGTCACACATATGTATGATCTAGTCTGGTTGATGTAAAGCTACTTCCTGCCATTCCCTTGCCTCCTTGTCCAATGCAACTCAAAACCTCAAATCTGTAGCATTAATTGTTTCAGAAATGGTCGCCATTCTTTCCTTTGTCTATTTTTCACACAGTGTTGTACCACCATGGTGATCCCTCACTCAAGTAAATCATTTTAGAGCTCCTTGTGCATAGGTAGCTTGTAACTTTAGGCAAAGCCCTTAACCACTCTGGGTCTTGCTTTCATTCTGAAGAGAAAATATTTTGGCATTTCTCAGAATACTATATCCATGAAAGTTTTTAAAAGTCTTAGCGAAATAAGTTGATGGCCCTCTTTATTCCTAATGCATACTAGCATATTAAAATTTCTAAGAACCACAAGGGAACTTGTTTGGCTTTGCTTAACACAGTGTCCACAAATTATTTTATCTGGGAAACTTTCTCCTGGTAATACGTTGCCATCTCTCAGAATTAGTGGAAAAACATACTTACTCACCAAATTACTTTAGACTGCTACACTTGACAATCTTTAAAAGACTGTTCTAACTCTCCTGGACACTATGGTTCACGTCTGTTATTCTCCTCTTCTCCCAAATGATTTGAATGCCTAGATTAAGCTAAATGACTCCATGTAGTCAATAGTTGCCTTGAAAAATTGCTTGAATCTGGGCAATTTATCTGCCCACCAGTCACATAGTTCATGGCATTTAACACACTCACACACCAGAGTACAGTAAGCTAAAGGTTTTAAAGACTGACTAATACTCCACCGTGATAGGACAGACGTTTGGAGTTTCAGCCAAATCTTGTAAATTTAGCAATGAATATCAGAGCAACTCCTTCTGTTACCCTAAATGTCAGGGACTCTTACATTTTCATGAAGAACACACAGGTCTTGGTTTTTAAAGGTCTTACATGAGCACTTTCATTGAAAATCATAAGGTTTGTCTACATTGAAAAGATGAGTGCTACCATTAGAGGCACGTGAAAAATTAACCTGGAAGTTCAAGGAGTGTTTTGATGTTCCTAGGTGTGGATTAGATCAAACTTCAGCACTCTAAGAGAGCTCCAATTAGCATATTTCAGGACCAGTATGACCACTTTCCCCCACAACCAATGTTTCAACATAATCAATTATATATTTTCATGCTCTATTATCTGAAATTGAGCTAAGTAAACTATGTTTACTTAGTAATTGAGCTAAGTAAACTATTTGATACCCCAAAAAGAATTTTGAGTGTAAAGATTAGTCTGTGTTTTGCCCCATATATTTTACTATACCACAACCTAATTACTTCCTCTTCTAGGTGGTTAACTTACTCCCTATTACAGAGCCTTACCCATCCAGTTCTTCCCTTGATTCTATTCTAGCATAAAGTCCATAAGACAATCTGTGGAAGGTACCTTCAGTTTTGAAATATCCATATGCCCATGTCTATGTGAGTGCTGATACTTTGAGCCAGTTCCAGTTTATTTGCTGAGTTTTATCCTCTTGCCCTTGTCTTGATTTCTGACTTTGCAGTGCTCCTGACAGCTCAACTGTTTTCAGATAAACTGCTTCCACGTTAACCTTGCCTTGCCTCACCTATATCTGGCGTCCAATCTTGAATCCAACTACAATTATAGCACAACACTATAAAAACAAGTCCATTTAAGTGTGCTTGGGCACAGAGAAATAACAAAGAATGTTGAGTAGCCACAAATAAACTATGCATGTGGCAGTTGGGTTGAGTCATTTTGCAACTAAACAGCCACATTTGAATAAGACTTATATGGAAGCCACTCAGGTATAGTTTCATAAGAACTATGGGCACCAGGGATTGTTCATCTCACTTCTCACATTTGAGAAACCTTCCCTGATTGCCTGAATCCAAAGGGACTTGCTTTCTGAAGTTATGTAGCTCCTATTGTGTGTACTAAGTGCCAGGCATTTACCATTGTCTGGCATTGCACTGTCTGATTGTCTCATTGGCTCTATTTTTACACAGGGATAGTCTTCCTAAATAGATGAGAACTGTGCCTAACTAATTTTTATATCTCCCACAATCTGTAGTTTATAGTAACAAGAAGATATTCTCAGAGATTTGAGCAGCTAGACAGTGTGATACGGGGTCATCAGAGGCATCTATTTGAGTGAATTGGAAAATGACCTGGAACCTAACTGTCGAGTGAGGATTGATGGGAGGGAAAGAAGAGATTGTGAGACAGAATGAAGAAGACAAACAAAGGAAGTTCAACTTGCTGCTCTGGTTTAGACTAAACACTACCATTTTCTTTGTTCCACGAGGTTTTCAGAATTCCCTTCTTTACTACATGATTACCAATGTTATTTCATAGGTGGCAGATTAGACAAGAGCCTCCTGAGCATTCCTAATGCCACCATAAAATAATTGCAGCAAAAGTCCCAGGAATTCAGATTTAGATTTATCCTTATAAGGTTATTTACCCCTCCGACAGCTCATAATAATACTCAACTAAAGTGAGAAGGAAGCTCTGTCCAGAAAAATTCCTTCCTCATTCTCCTAACTCAACATGAGCCTCAAAGGTCTTTGGGAAACTCAAAACTCATAAAGAGCACGGCATCCTACTTATAAGCGTTTTCAAGTCAAAGACACTCTTCTCATTATCACAACTAGCAACTATGATTCTTTGAAATGACTTATGCCTGGGAGTGATTAGTTTGTCCTCTTTACATATTCATGCCTTTATATTAATCTATTGTATGTGGCTATGCATTGACCAGCTCAAAAAATCATTTAAAAAAATATAAGTAGTGTTTTTTTAAATAATAATATTTGGTTAAACCCAATAAATGATTCAGCAAATTCTTTTTTTTTTTTTTTTTTTGAGATGGAACTTCACTCTTGTTGCCTAGGCTGGAGTGCAATGGCGTGATCTTGGCTCACTGCAACCTCCGCCTCCCGGGTTCAAGTGATTCTCCTGCCTCAACCTCCCAAATAGCTGGGATTACAGGCATCTGCCCCCACACCCGGCTAATTTTGTATTTTTAGTAGAGACGAGGTTTCCCCATGTTGGTCAGGCTGGTCTCAAACTCCCGACTTCAGGTGATCCTCCTGCCTCGGTCTTTCAAAGTGCTGGGATTACAGGCATGAGCCACCATGCCCAGCCAAAACTGTTTTCTTTTAAAGACATAAATATAGTAAAGGGATGTTTTCCTCCCAAAATAATTACAATAATGCCCAGGTATCTTGGTAAGCTAAAATAGTCCTAACCACTTGGGCCCACCCTCCACTTTGGGATCTGACTCCAGACTAATGAAGAACTCACCATCTTACTTTAGACTGACAGTTATAAATTGTCTGAGTGGCTGCAAACGTCCAACTCCTTAGAGGCTTGAATAATATCTTTTAGTCTGTAATTATAAGCAGGAGCAAATGAACGTCTATACACTATGATTTTGAGACAGATTCAAATAAAAAGAATTGGTAGCATTATGAACTCTACCTCAAAAATATATCAGATAGGTACAAGTAGATCAATGGGGAGACCCAGAAGATGTTGCAGTTTTCTGCAGTCAAACAAATTATAGAAATCAGGGCAGGAGGAAAAGAATACAGAGCATGCCAGGGTGGCAAGATCCATTTGTCTGTGTTAACGTATCTATCTGCTCCCTATGTTCTCATATTGACCTTGGTGCGATGAAGCCTGCAGTGAGGCAGAAGACCTACGCTGTTGTACGTATGGCTCTGCCTTATGTTTGCTGTGTGGCTTGGAAAATTTTACACCAACTCTCTGGGTTCCAGGTTCTTCTTCTGAAAAATGGAGACACAAGTGCTTTTCCTATTCACCCAGAGGGGTAGTTATGAGGATAAAATGTGATAATTTTGGAACTGGCTCAGTGTCTTAAAGAGCTCTCTGCCTGCTGTTGACAAGGGAAGTCTAGTGTAGACTTTCAGAAGGCTGCCTCCCTCTCTCCAAAGGTTGCAGTAGACAGTGGCCACTCCTCCATCCCATGAGCAGTAGCATCACTCAGCATTAGCGACTAACATTGTTTCTGGCGAGGTCCTTGCTGTTCCTCTATCTCCGTTTCCAATAAGATCTTTTTCAGATTACTTTGGAACTTCCCAAGACGGCCTTCATCCAAAATGCAATGTTCAGTTCCTTTTTTGATCCGTATCCAGGAGCCCTAGACTAGACCAGTTCTCCTAAAACTCATTGAGCTTCAGATAGAGCCTCAGGTTTCAGCTTGCCTGGAAAAGATTTAAGACAAGGAGTTACGTGAAGATTTTGTAAACTATGAAATTCTACTCTGTTGTAAAGTAGCCCTTTGTGATTTTACAGTAATGGAGCACTCACTGAACCTTCAGAGGCAACTCATTCCATCTTTGGATAGCTCTGATGGTTGAGCTGGAATCCAGGTCCCTGTCACTTTTTGCCATTGTGGTCCAAGTGCTACTCACAGTTCCATACGGAAGTCCAATCACCCAGGACACTTTTTCTTTTCTGTCCCCCCTAAAAAGTCTCTTTTTCCCTGTTGTTTCTCATGGATATAGTATCTAATTCCTTATTGCCCTGTTTTCTTCTCCCTGAACACCTCCAGTTTTTCTGGCTTGAGGGTAATAACTAATAATAATGGTTATTACTAATATTCCACTAATAATCTGCCAGTTCCTCCACAAGAATATTATGATTTTGTGAGATTCTTAATGAAGCTTCAAATATAGACGGAAAACAAAGGTCAAAAATCTAGCTTATTTCCTTATCTATAAGCCTGGTTATATTGTCGATGAAAGAAATGAGTTGTGTTTGACATGATTTGTTCTTAGTGAACCAGTGCTAGCTCCTAGTGATCATTGCTGCTTCTCTTAAATAATCCATTCTAGCATCTTGGCCAGAATTCACTTTCACTTCCTTTCTGGAAATCAGAATGACACCCCAGTTTTTGAACCTTCCTTGTTCTCTGTAACTCTTTACAGATTCATAACAATGACTCAGCAATCTCTTTAACAACATTTCTCATTTTCGTCTTTTGATAAGAGATGAACCATTTGGATCCCAGAAATGAATGCAAGCTAACTTTGTGTGTCTGATGTGGATACTTCTTTCTGTGTAAACCTGAAAGAAGGTTATTTCTGAGGACTGAGAATTCTGTTTAGAGAGAGGGTGGGCTGAGACAACAGACTTCACTATCTTGAAACACCAACATCCACAACCCTCTTTATGCATAGTCCAAAAGAACATGAATTGTTTCCTAGCAGACAAGGTTCAGAGCGTGTACAGAAGAGAAAAAATCATTAGTAGGATCAGGCGGGACAGGCAGATAAATGAGGAATGAAAAGGATGACAATCGGAACCTGTGTTTTAATCCTTCCCAGGGTGCATCACTCCTAGAAAAGAGAGAGGACTTTATTAGTCTACATCTTTCTCCACTTAGGTTTGGCATGACCAGCAGCATCTCTCCTAGGAGGGAAACTACAAGTGTCTGCTGGTCTGGATTAAGATACAATAACAGGGGAAGCATATGGTCATTCACATGGTGCTTGTTCCCACACTGCGCCAAGGTTAACAAATTAATGAAAAGGAAGCACGCGACATAAATGTTGAGCCTTATTAAACATGAGATCATCACTCCCAGCTATCTTTATCTTACAAGAATCTAAATTAAAGCAATGCAACCCCTCTTCCATGCATACACAGTGAAAATCATTCTTACAATAGCAAATCATATTTTTGAGGACAAACAACAGCAGTTTTAAACTCTAAAATTGTAAGGAAAGAGTCTGTTCTAAAAGAGTTTTATTGAGATGATATGGGAAGAAGCAGTGTTATTTATTTAAGTACAGCATTGCATTTTCCTTTGTCCTTTCAACAGGTTAGTAATTACAGGAGTAGTGATTAGCCTTGACAGAGGGTACACAAAACGATAAATGGATACTGTGTGCATGGGGGGGCTCTCTGGTGCCAAGCTTATTATTTTCAGTCAGAGCTAATTATCCTTATTATACTGCATGACTCTTTTCTCGTGAATTATGAGTGGAAAAGTGCTGAATAGAGTTTTTTTCCAAAGTGCCCTGAACTGTGGAGGGAAATGAAAATTACAAACAATGAAAAGCTTGTTAGACAATGAGAGCGATCATCTATAAAGGGATTCTGAAGGAACTTCCCTTTTCCTGCGCTATAGAAATGTAAAGTGCTTATCAGAAAATGATCAGGGTTTTGTTTTTGTTTTGTTTTTGCGTTTAGTTTTTTTTTTTTTTTTTTTTTGCCACACGGATGATGGGAGGAAAAGAGTTAGACTCAGCTCAGCCTGGGGCAGTAGCAAAGCAGCAGGAAGAAAGATGGAAAGTCTTACTTAAATCTTTGTACAGGATCAGTAAATTATGGAGGGTGGGGGGCAGATGGAGGGTGGAGGGCAGGGGGAAATTGTGTTTAGACACAGGGGCAGAAGGAATTTGTGGTTGCTGATTCATGCAATTAGATCCCCACGGCCAGACCCTTCAGTGTAAGGAAAGATAGGATCCTGCCTGGCCCAAATGCCACCTGAGAACCGACCTGAGAAGAGACACTTCAGTTTGAAATCCAGTTACCACTCAATCCTTTATCTGTCTCTTTTTTCCCTTCTCTATTGCCCCCCTCCCATTATAGTGATGCATATGAACAAAATTCCACAGATGGTGCATGCTTTTATGAGCTCAGTCCTGAAATTTGGTTCGAAATTTCCCCAGTGTCCTCTGTGCTTCTCTCTTTGCAACAGATGCACTTAAATGTTAGCAATTTATTTGCGGCCTGTGCTCCAGCCAGAGCTGGAGAGACAGGGCTGTTGTACAAAGAGTAGCACAGCCACTAACACAGCACGAGGTTCCCTGACCGCAACTGCTGGGGCTGCGGGAGGAGGCCTCTGTTTCTGTGGGCACAGCCAGTCAGTCACAGGAAAACCAAACTTTATCTTCCCCTCCTTCCAGCTCAAGTCTGGTCCCTGAATAAGACGTTAAATCCAGCGATTGCCGAAGAAGGGCTTTCCTTTCTTTAGCCTATCATGCCTAGTATTCTCCACACGCCAGCATCTCATTCTCAATTTTTACCAGTTAGCCGGCTTCTGGGATTCGGAAGGCTGGAATATAGAATTTCATGAGAGTTCAGGAACAGGCAGATTCTTTTTAAGGACACCAGGGCTCTGTAAGGTGACACCCTCTAAGAATACAGCCTTGGTTCCAGGGTAACGAGTGAGTCAACCCTTTTATTTAGTATGTCAACAGTGAAATGCTCATTTAGTTGGACTAAAATATTCTTGAACAGAAAGTTATGGGCTCCCTGTGTGGGTTTGGAAATGTCAGCCCAGATAAGCAGGCAATTAATGAGAGTGCAATTGTTATCTTCCTCTAACGCAAGCATCACCGATGAGATTAAGAGGTGACATGTGATTGCCCAAATAGGGGCGTGCACTAGTAAAACATAATTAAGGAAGGAAGTACATCCTGGAGAAGCAACTTGAGTTGCTTAGTGAGGATGACATCTTCTTTATGCTTGTAATATCGTTACATAGGTGAGATCACCACAGGCCAAATTGCCCAGATCCTATCCACAATCCAATGGTATTAGGAAACTTGTTATTTTAACCTGTGATTCACACTTTTTCATCCTCAATACAGGCTAATCTTGTCACTCTTCTTAATAGTTTTTGTTCCTTTTCCACAAGATTCTTTTCATTAAGATGAAGAGATTCCAATGTCCCTAAGTCTGAGTGTTTTTATTATCGTTATTTCTTGCTAATTAGTTAAATTTGAAGTTCCTTAAACCATTGCACCAGAGTATGACAAACAGCCTTTCAGCAAGGGACTAAGCTGGTACCCAGTTTCTACACACATACCAACGGGGTCATGATGTCCACCCAGCATATTTGGATCAATCATTCTGGTGAAAATTACTTCCCAGCTAATTTCATGGACTATTTTTGATGTGATCATTCACCTTTTTCTTTTGGAGGGGGTGGAGAGGAGGGAGCGGAACTGTAGTCTAGAGAGTGGGGAGCAGCGTAGTCTCTGCTGTCTGACCACCAGCGCTGCAATTTTGATCCATGTTTCCCATATGACCTAAGCAAGTTACTTACAGCTTCTTATCTACTATTCCCTTATCTACAAAGTGGGCAGTAACATGATTTATTTCAAAGGGGTTAGATTTGAAAATTTATAAGAAGCTTAGCACAGTTCCTGGCATTCAGTAAACACTCAACAAATTTTATTGTGGTTATTTTTATTATTTTATCGGCATCATGGTCATTTAAAATAAGGTGGCATGCATTTATATAATAATGCTAATGTTATACTCCCATATTGTAAAAAAGACAATAATGCACTCAGGTATAGTCATCATCATTTGCAAAATGTTAGGTAGAGAGGATCCTGATGAAATAAGCTTCAAACAAAGAATGATTTTTTTAAAAAACCCAGATCTGATTCTGATCATATCACTGATCTGCTTAAACCCTTCAATGGGTTAAGCACTGCTCATAGGATAAAGCCCAAATTTCAAAACACGACTTTGCAAGGCCCTTTGTGACCATGTCTTGCTCACCTTTCTTACCTCAAAACAGATCGCTAAGCATGGGCTTTCATCTGCCTAGAGTATTCCTCCCTCCTCTCTACCCATAACTAATGTCTACACATCCTTCAGGATCTGACTTCCATGCAACTTCTCCCTTGAAATCTTCCCAGTTTCTGCACACCTGAGTTGGCTGTCCCTCTGGCCTGATACTATAGCATCGTGTGTTAGTTTTGTTGTTATTGTTGTTGTTGTTTTTCTGTCAAAGAATGCTTTGGAATTGCCATTGTTCTTGTCCCTCGCTAGCCCAAGAGACCCTTGAGGATAGGGATGGTGAGTGCCGAGTTCACCACAGTTGCACAGTGCTTGTACGTATGGGTGATTCATTTACATAACAAATTTTAGTGAGTCTCTACATATGCATTGCTCAATCCTCCATCCTTCCTCAAGTGAGCTGCACAGCTCAAATGGATTCACAATTTAAAATTAGACTTAGCCTCATGCAAATACATAGCTCAGTACTCATTCCGGCTTGTTCTATTACTGTATGTGAGTGGGAAATTCTAGGTGGAGGTCGAGGTTCAGGACATTTGCCAATAACTTCACCAAGTCAGCCTTTACTTTCACCACAAAATGTCTTTGTAGCGGGGAGCTAATGAAAGGCAACCTGCTGAAGGTGGGTAGGAGACTTCCATGCTGCACTGGCATAGCAAGCACGCTGCTTATTCATTCATTTGGGATGGTTTGGAAGGAGAACAAAGCCCCTCCCACCAAGCTACCATGATGCTTCCCATCAGGCAATGCTGCCGCCAACGCCCTTCTCATTTCCCAATTAAATGTGGAAAGCCAGCTTCCTGGAAATTCCAAAACACAGGGACAAAGAAACTAGATGTCTGTCCATATTTTGCAAGGCAATCCTGGCAGATGGAGCAGCTCCTCGATAAACTTTTACACCTGAAATTCAGATTTTCTGATGAAGGGTATAAGGCTTTGTGTTATTTGTTGACAGTTATGAGCCACAATCATATTTAAATCTCCCTGCAAACTGTATCTGTTATGCCAAAATAGCTCTGGTTAGGTTTACAGCCTGGGTAGAAGAGTAGCTCCTGACGTTATTAGATGTGTAAACCACTGAAATGTAGTGCTTAGGGACTTATGTGCATGGAAATACACAGGTTTTGTTAAGTATATTCCTCAGCTCTAAAAAGGAGAGGGACCAATTTTGTTTGTGCTGTTAGCATATTGTTTGCTTGGCTAAAGTCAGGTTGCCATCAACTGAGGGGATAAGGCATGAGTCAATGGCTAAGAAAACTTAAAAAGGCTTAGATATGGCTGCTTTTAGCTTTCTGAATGGCTGGTGCCCAGCTAAAATAACAGATGCATTAATACTTCCCCAGTGTTACACAAATGCTAAAGGCAGTGGAAAGCTGACCTTCTCATGCTTCTTAACAGTTTTAGTCCAATTATGACCCTACGATGCAAATGCTAAGGCCTGCTAGTGGCTTCTTACTATAATTATTTTGCTATTGTCGTCAAAGCTGTCACAAAATCAGTGAATGAAAGCAGGTGCTCTTTTTCTAAGAATGTGAGCAATCTGCTTATTTCTCCAATAGGCCAGATTAATTATATTAGCTTGATGCAAACATAATTGTAGTTTTTGCCACTACTCTTAATTGCAACAACTGCAATAACTTTTGCACCAACCTAATATTAGTGTGTCAACACAATCATGCTAAGGACATGAATAAAATGCATGCATATGGAGAAAATGTATTTATCTACAGAACTGTAGACTTCTGCCCTAGGGAAAAAATGGTCCGATGTCCATGTTTTAAATTTTTTTATCTCCAATCTGTCAACGGCAATGATTACATCATTACAGTGAAAATGCTGTTCACTTTCAGACTTAGGCAAGACAGGGAGCCATACACATCCCAAAATACCTCCATCAGGGAGCACCCTTCAGAAAACACCCCTTGTTTTGCTCTGTTTTAATTGAGCAATAGCCTTTTACATGAAGTTCTAGATTTTTTTTTTTTCAGATTTTGCATTAAATAAAATAAATCGACCTGAGATTTTCAGTTTTATCTTGGCATTTTTTCCCCAGTGATTTTTTTTTTTTTTGGAGATGGAGTCTGGCTCTGTTGCCCAGGTTGGAGTGCAGTGGTGTGATTTCGGCTCACTGCAAGCTCTGCCTCCCAGGTTCACACCAGTCTCCTGCCTCAGCCTCCCTAGTATCTGGAACTACAGGCACCTGCCACCACGCCCAGCTAATTTTTTGTATTTTTAGTAGAGACGGGGTTTCGCCATGTTAGCCAGAATGGTCTCAATCTCCTGACCTCGTGATCCGCCCACCTGGATGACAGCCTCAGTTATTTATGGCTGTTGACCTAGGTATGTGTGATGTGGGGATGGAAGATTGTTTGGCTTCTCTGTATGTATTGCACTAAAACCATAATGAATAAACTATAAGTTAAATTAGAAACATTTTAAACTCTAATTAATTAAAAAATTAATTCACAAAAATCAAATTACCTTCCCAAAGTGTATTTTTTAAGAGAATGGGTAAAATGCTGACTATTACAAGATAATAGTAATGGAAAAAACTGATTAAGTAACTGAGATACTGCCGGTCTTATAATAATATTAACATATGCATATCATAAGCACTAAGTAAAATAATCTTATAGTCTCTCCTCACCACAGAAAATCAGCTGAGTCCCTGAGGGAAAGGTTATTATAACTTCCTCCCCCACCTGGTACATCCTTGGACATTAGCCTGGAAGGCATCTCTAAAGGTACTTAGCACTAATTAGCACTTTCTATAAAGATCTTCATTTGTGGAATTACTTATAGGGGAGTCAGGCATCTCTTAAAACGGGTGCTGAATATTCTTTAGTGGCTCATAGAGAAATTTTGGCTGCCTTTTTCAAGTGAGTTTCATAAAAAACAAATTTTTAAAAAAAAGTAGAGACATTTACAAAACTTTTTAGAAATACATGCACATTCTAGAAAATTCATTGTGTACACTTATTAATAGCACCGTGGCGAAGGAACTGGACTGAGATCCAAGAGACCGATGCTCTGGTCCTTATTCAACAGGGGGCCAATCGTAGGACCTGGGCCCAATCTCAATTCTTTAAGCCTCACTTTCTTTACCTGGAAAATGGGGATGACATCTTCCTTCTCTCACTGAGTCCTTGTAAGGATAAAATGAGACAACTGACAGGAAACACTTTGAAAAGCTGAAATCGCTAAGTAAATGAAATATCTTATTATAGAAATTATCCAAATTCTAAAATGTCTAAGCTCATTGAAAAATAGATATTTGATTATTTGTAAAAATACTATGCCTGGAAATATCAGGCAATAAGTTCCTTGGTTGTACCCATTCTCTTTTTAAAATATAGTTTCTCTATTTGCCCATTTTTTGATGGTTGGGCATTTTTCCAGTTCCTCCATGACCTCTGGAAGAAAATTGTTTAGTGCTTCTGGGGTTAACTTTAATCAATTTCTTAACTTTGTGGGATATAATCAGATAGGTCTAAAAATTTAAATACAATCTTTTTCTGGAAATTCAACTTAATGGGACACTTTCTAATCCTAGAATGATTTTCTAGTCTTAACTTTTCTTTCTTTTTAGTTTTATTTTTCTTTCAAAATACCTAAGCAATTCATGATTATTTTAGAAAATTTGAAAAACAGAGAAAACAGAGGAAAAAAAATTTCCATAATCTCATTGTTTTTTAGAAGTTACCTAAATCAAGAAGTAAAAGACCCCTCTTCATGCATCGGTCCCAATCCCCAGAGACAATCACTGTTTTTCCCAGGAGAGTACGTATCCTTTTTCACTTACGCAAACCTGCCATCAACAGAACACCCATATATGACAATAATTAAATCCCACTGCTTGATAGTCTTCCAACTTTCCATCATATAAAAACCATAGCTTTACACGTTTTTTCAATTTTGTCCATCTGAAGCTATATTTCAGTTCACAGCTTATTAACTTGATTTACAATTTTTATATATTTCGACAGATGGTAAGTGGCCTCAATTTGTACTCTGGCCCCAGGCTCCACAAATGTTCCAGGCAGAGCCGCAGCAGTGAGCCTGCTCCAGCGGGTGCTCCCTGGGTCCCAGCCTCTGTTGGGCCCCACAGAACCCCTGAGTCATCTTGGCCCTAGCCCCCAGGCTCTTTCTGGAAATATGGATGTAGGGGATGGGAAAGGACAGGGTGTAGCAGACTCAAAGGAAGAAGAGGAACAGAGATCCAGTACTACATGACACTGTACTCTAAAGGCTTTTTAACTTTCTGTTCCTGCACTAGACTATAAGCTTTGGAGGGCATTGGCTGAATCATGTTTCAGGCACAGAACTGGCTTTCAATACATAGCTGTAGAAAGGACTGAATGAGGCCGGGCACGGTGGCTCATGCCTGTAATCCTAGCACTTTGGGAGGCTGAGGCAGGCGGATCACCTGAGGTCAGGAGTTCGAGACCAGCCTGACCAACATGGAGAAACCCCGTCTCCATTAAAAATACAAAATTAGCCAGGCGTGGTGGCGCATGCCTGTAATCCCAGCTACTCGGAAGGCTGAGGCAGGAGAATCACTTGAACCCGGGAGGTGGAGGTTGCGGTGAGCCAAGATCACGCCATTGCACTCCAGCCTGGGCAACAAAAAGCAAAACTCTGTCTCAAAAAAAATGAGACAGAGAGAGAGAAAGAAAGGACTGAATGATTGAATGAACAAACAAATGAGGAAAAAAGAGAGTCCCATCACTTATATATTTCCATATATATGGAAACATATAATTACTTACGGATCTCATACACTAACTTATGGATCTCATGCACTAACAATTCTGAAAGCAGAACATTAAAACACTGAGTAAGGTGCCTTTGGCCACTTCCTTTTAAATACGTACCTCTCAGTATATTTATGAAAATAGCAGTGCCCTTAGCTGATAGTCAAATGACATTTTCACCCTAAATATGACTGCTAACATGGAATGCTCTAGCTGAAGTTGTGACCTACTTTTTAAAAGTAATACACCTTGCATGTAGCGGAGATAAACATTTTTTCCCTACATTGTGGATGTATTATCAAACTCATTGTTTGCTCTTGAGTTTAATCATGTATCAGCCCAGAATTGTAATTCTGACCCTGTGAAGTAAAAATGCAACAAGGACTCAAAAGACAGAACATTCTGGGTAAGTAAGGCTCTGTTTGTGCATTTTAGTGGCAGATAAATCTAGTTGTGTTGGCCACATTTAGAGTACAAGTGCCAGTGTTGACAAAATGGCAGCCAACAGTAGGTAGACTCTGCTGCCAGACCCAGGATGACCAACATTTTTATGTCTAAGATCACACTATATTGTTTACACAATATAAAGGAACCATAAAACAAAAACACAAGCATTGCTGAAATATATGGGTCAGTTTCTCATCATGCCTGTTTTGCAATCTCAATATTAGCCATGCTGCCAGGCTTGGATTTCCATGCCTATAATATAGCAATTTCATTTCTAGAAATTTATCCTAAGGAAATAATCAGCGAGATGCACAAATATTTATATACAAAGATTCTCATCACAGCGTTGTTTATATTAGTGAAGCACTGAAAACTGTCTTAATGTCCTACTCTAGGAGACTGGATAAATAAAGCGCGGTGTAGCCAAAGGACATAACATTATAAAACCATTAAAAACCATCATGGTGTAGCAGGACAGCAAATTGTGTGGGAAAATAATCATGGTATATCTCACAGCATATTGTTAAATGAAAAGAACAGTTTGTAAAATAACAGACAATGTGATTCTACTAAGAATTCCACCTAAGAATGCAAAGAAAAATGACTAGAATGCTATAGAGCAGCATTTTAACAGTGATTCTCGTTGGGTGACAGTAGGAGTGATTTTACTTTCATTTTTGTGCCTTTATTTTATAAATTTCCTACAATTAATATGTAATAAAAAATTTGGGAGTATGTAATTCTTAAACATGACTACCTGATATCAGCATTCTGGTTTGTAACATTGATGATTGTCACATTTTATGCTCAACTCCCAGTCTGCAGAGCCCCACACCCAAAGTCCTCTTAACCCCTGTGTTTGGGTATCTGTATGTATTTGGGTAGCTGGCTTGTATGCTCCTTCGATGGCTGGGCCTGTGTCTTCTTCATTTTTGTATCCCCAACATGAAATAAAAGTCATGAAGCAATCCTAGGTTTTCTCAAAGATCCAGGAAAAATTAATCCAAAGAAATACTTCTGAATTCCATGCCATAACTGAATGCATTCCTCCAGCCTCCCAACTGGTTCATGGCACAAAGTAGCCACCCAGGTTAAAACCTTGTAGTCAATTCAACGTGATGGGCTCCAACTGTATCTGTCGAATTTGCATGCCCTTTAGTAAGCATTTTACTATTCACCGTATAGGACTATCACCCAGATTTAATTAAATAGTTGATTAAACATGATAATGGTGGTCATTTCAATAAAGCACTGAATTTCAATTCCTTGTTCAGAACATAATCCTTATGACTACATTATCTCTAGGGGAAAATCAAATCTTTTTTTTTATCTTTTTCCAGGAAAGTTTTCCACTTAGTAGGTGAGAGAATTGCTCTCACAAGGGCGATTCCTGTATTCTGCACCTGGAGGCTGGAGTGAAAGGGTGAGAGGGAATGCTCACCCTTGTACCTGAGCCCTTGATTGGCCCTAGATGTAAAGATGTCATGGACGCTCACCTTAGGATATTTATGACGTCTAATGGAGTCAGCGAGCAAGGGCATTCCCTAGAATATCTGCTGCAGCTTTAGATGCCAGTACACGTAACTCTCTGGCAGGTAATTAGGGACGAGGCAATCTAGTCTAGACTTTGGGATTTTTCTGGTTGGTTCCTGCATGCCCAACCAATCAATATGCATTAATCATTGAACGCTTATTGTTAACATGATTCAGCCTCAATGATTCATCTGCATTACACACAGGGAAGTCTGTTGTGACTGGAGATGGGCAAAAGAGTTAAAGGAATGAAGAGACGTGTTTTGCCTAAAGGTGCAAAATATTTCTGTGATAAGTGATGAGAGCACCATGGTGGGGTGGAGAGCAAATGCAAATTCATCAGGAATTTCCAGAAATGTGCGGACGGCGCCTTCCTAGCATTGTCTGCATGGCAAATTCAGCACTTGGCGTATGCTACTTCGAATTGTAATTATTTTTCATTTATAGATACCTTATCCTTCCAGCTTTGTTATACACTCCAGAAGGGTAGGGGCCACATTGCTTACGTCTGGGTCTCCAGCACCCAACACCCAGCCTCAGAGAGGTAGCCCCTCAGTACTAATGATGGGAGATAGCTGCCTCCTTGGTGATTGTGATGATGCTGCCGGCAAAATCTGCCATGCTGACCAAATAAAGGTAAAACTTTTGGAGGTGCTGTCAAGCTTGATTGCCCAGTGAAGCTTCTTTGGCCTGCTAATCACTGAAAAACAGGCTCTCTCACTCATATGAGATCTCCCCTCCTTCCTGTTCTCAGCTAGAAATACCATGAGAACAGACTGTCTCACAGTGTTTTCAGATTTCCACTTCTAGTCCCTGCCAAAAGCAGGAAGTGCAGAAGTGGGCGATAATTCTTTTTTTCTTTTTAGAACACTTTATTAAAGAGTTTTGGTTGTTACTTGTTTTTCCCCCTGAACCTCATTAGAATTAATTTGAGCAATACTTTGAATTCACATGATGATTTTCTTACAAGGCACACAAAAAGCCTTATTTATCAATGCCATTTCCCCATAAGGTAAGGTAGAAGGAGCTACCGAGGGTAATGAACATTAAAGATGGAAGGCACCTTGGGGATTTTCTACTCTGGCATATTTTTTAACTGATGAGAAAATTGAGACCCAGAGTCATCGAGTGGGGGTATTTCCTGCTCTGTGTCAGCACATGCCTCCCTGCCGTGATACAACACAGTCATTCTCTTGTCCTGCACTGCCACCACCCCTACCCTATCACCACTTTCCCTCCCCACCCCCACATCTATTCTACCCCTCTGCTCTCCTGCTCCTTTCCCCAAAGTCAGCCCTTTCATTTTGGGAGAATCAATAGCAGATAACCATCATTAAAAGGACCAAGAATAATCACCGTGTCTGACTGTACTTTTGGAAATGAAGGAAGAAAGGAGGAAAAGGAAAACAAGAAGGAAAGAAGAAAACAGAGGAGTAAACATAACATAAAAGGGGGGAGGGAAGAAAGCAAATGTTTATCAGAGACCAAGGAAATGCCTGCTACCTCCTTTCAACATAATGCAGCAACTCAACATCCGGTTGGATAAGCTGATCTATTGCATGGCACCATTTTGGTTCTACCTCCTGGGGGTCATTTTTCTACCCCACCTGTTCTAATACTCTCCCCATATCTTAGATCGATGCCCAAGGGGGCAAGTGAGTCCTCAAATGAGAGCCAGAGGCAAAGCAGAAGTAGGCCTTACAGGTTCTATGGACTAAATTGTGTCTCCCCCAGCTGCATATGTTGAAATTTTAACTCCCAATATGACTGTTTGAAAATAGTTCTTGCTAAAGGAGGAAATTAATGTTAAATGAGGTCATAAGGATGGGGTCCTAATCCAATAGGACTGGTGGTCTTATAAAAAGAGGAAGAAAGAGTGATCTCTCTCTGCACACACAGAAGAAAGGCCATGTGAGAACACAGTGAGAAGGGTGCCATCTTCAAGTCAGGAAGAGAGCCTTCACCAGATACTGAATGGGTCTTTTGATCTTGGACTTTCCAGACTCAAGAACTATGAGAAATAAATATCTGTTCTTTAAGCCACTCAGTCTGTGGTTTTTTGTTATGGCAGCCCCCTAGCAGAGTAATACATGTTAGTTTTTTTTTTTGTTTTTTTTTTTTTTGAGATGGAGTCTCACTCTGTCTGTTGCCAGGCTGGAGTGCAGTGGCGCGATCTCGGCTCACTGCAATCTTTGCCTCCCGGGTTCAAGCCATTCTCCTGCCTCAGCCTCCTGAGTAACTGGGATTACAGGCATGTGCCACCACACCCAGCTAATTTTTGTATTTTTAGTAGAGACAGGGTTTCACGTTGTTGGCCTCGATCATCTGACCTCATGATATGCCCACCTCGGCCTCCCAAAGTGCTGGGATTACAGGCGTGAGCCACCGATCCCGGCCTACATGTTAGTTTTTAATTGTTAATTAAGTTAATTGTCATTGATAAAAGCCAGAGTCTGAATTTTTCCGATGACACTCTAAAGTCTCATGGCTGTTCGTTTCATACCTCAGGACATACCTTGTATAATGGTTTCTCATCATTAGCCTACATCTCAAGTAGCCGATCTAAAGTCAATCATCATAGGACCAAACTGGGTGACAGCACAGTACAAGATCACAGAAAAGGCATATCCTCATTCATCAGCTGACTACTCAGGACCACATTCACTTCTTCAGAGAGAGGTAGGTTTCCTCTGAAGCTCACAGAGCTGTAGCGTCAGGGTACCACACTTGCATGGGCCCCTTCCTAAGCCCAGTACTTAATTTTGTTTTCAATTTTTTAAAGATTTTAAAGGTAGAGGCCCCCCTGCACCAATATATGTGCCTGATACTCCCACATTTTGCCCTGCATTCGACACGTATGTATTATGCCAGGCCTTATGCCAGACACTAAAAATATAGTAGGGAACAAGATAAGGCCATCACAGTACAAGTAAATGAGTATCAGAATAAATAGATGATCTGTATAATTTAGGCAGAAACCATCCAAATGCGTAATAGTGGAGGTGGGAGAGAAAGAGGAGTTTACATTCACTTCACAACAACTCAGCAGATACAGCCCAAATCCAGTTTGCCCCCTTCATGTCCCCAAAGGCTCTGATGATGCACATTTTTCAACTGGAGGGAAAGATGATTGACTGAAAGCCTGCTGTGTTTTGAGTAAAGAACTCAGTATTTTGCATATGTTATTAAATTCTTACAACATCCGTGTGGCATGAGCACGATTATCCCTGTGTGGTGAGGACAATAAAGCGCAAAGAGGTTAAATAATGTGCCTCATGGTGGAGCTCCCTTTACATACACCCAGGCCTACCTGACTCCAAAGCCCACGAAGCTTCCAGGCTGCCAAAGCTTCTGCCATGAGCCCCACGGCTGAGGCCAGGCTGAGAGCAGGCAGGAGATAATGGAGAAAGGGTGGGGACAGGGAGACTCAGCCTCTCAAATTATGACTGCAGCAGTTTTCCAAATGGCATTCTTTTCACATTGCTGCTACGTAGGGCCCAATTCCATAGTACAGTAGAGTGCGTGGTGGCAGCAAATGAGCACAGGGCTGCAGGCATCTCCGTGCCTCTGAGTGCTGTGCTCCGTCGCTTTTCCACTCTTTAAAGGGCTTCGAGCTCTGTAAAATTTAGTTTTAAATCCATGAACCACCTGGCTGTCGAATCATGCTTACACATCTAAATTCTATGAGAAAAATAAGCCATTCAAATTTTGAAAATTTTCAAACTGAATAAATCATGCTTGGCTACAAAATCTTCACCCTGCATAGCCCTTATGTAAGCGCCTTTGTGGAGGTTTCCTTGTTCAGCCAAAAAAAAAAAAAGTGTCAAATGATCACAAACCACCCTCTCCTTTGGCTATGAGTATAACAGGAAGCACTAAGATGATAAGTCATTTTTCTCCTTTTATCTTTTTAAAAGACCAACCAGAAATCTAATGTGAACAAAGCTAATGTGATACTAAGTTTGCAAATTTAAACTAAGAGTTCTGCAGTCAAGACATGCAAAGTTTCCATAGCAACATTAGCTCTCATCTTTAGGATTTTCAGTTCTATTAAAGCCATTAAAATCATACTTTTGTATATACAAATGTATACACAATGTGAATCGAATTTAAGATTGAGGCTTATTTTCCACATTTTAATTGTAAATGATTCCTGTTATGAGTTCGTATGCGTGTTTTGTGAGTACACCTTTTGTAAATGAATAGTATTAAGCAGTAGGTTGATTTATTTCGTTCTTCCCCCAATTTTTGCCTCTTTTATGTTCCATTTCCTCAATACCCTGGATGCTGAAAGGGTGAAGGATAAGGATGTCAGACTGCTCTAAACCACACAAGGAACCCACCTTGCTATAGTCATGGTGCCACCTCCAAGTATAACTCAAAACCAATTTCATTAGGGAGGGAAAGGTCTCAGCAAACGTTCTCCCAGATCAGATGGATGGACTCACAGAGGCTACCCTCCAATGGGTTTCCCTATCCCTTTTGGAGCTGGAAAGGAAACTGGCTTTACTAGTGGCCACAAACACAGCCGGCTACAGGAAAAAAGAAAGTGTCTCCTCAAGCTAAGCCTGAGTAGAGAACCTAGTAAAACCCTACATCAGTTGGAAAGTGTAGTCACTGCAACATATTTCATGAGCTACCCATAGAAAACCTCACGGGCAATGAACATTTCCTTGGGGAAAAAAAAAAACCAAAACCAAAATAATTGTAGATTCTTGCTAGCAGTGTGGATGGTGTTTATTTTTCCAAAAATGAGTGAAGCAGATGGGGATGGCAAGGATGCCGGAAGATTCCCGTGATGTCCCCTCATATGAGACAGTGTCGGACAGTTGCAGACACTGGACTGAACATGGAGGAGGGAAAGGAAACATTTCTTCAACGCACTTTCAGTCTGAAATAGTATCACGGTGTCACAGACATGCAGAAACCCTCAATGAAACAGACAAATGGATGTGGCAGAAGGCTTAAAGTGAAACCAGCCTGCAATGATCAGGGCTATTTTTAGTTTTCTAATGAAGAAAGCAGCTGTATTCAGAAAGGCTGTCACTCGCTGCTTGTGAGACCAATTTGTTCTTTTCCGGGGTTCCAGTATTCATCACCAGTAAACCTCCTCTGGGATCCTCAGAAAGAGGCCCCAGACAGCAATTACTGTGGGTTTGGCTTTTTTGTGTTGTTTTTCTAAAGAGGTTTAGGAGAAGGTTCTTAAGAATCTTGGTTAATAGACCTATTAGAACCAGGGAAGAATAAGCTAAATAATAAGCTGTCCCTAGCCTTTCTGGTACAAACCTGATCCCATACAAATCAGTTTCAAAGCCTTAAAGAGCAAAGGACAAAATTCCAGCTTACTCTTTCTATGACCTAAGTGGCTAGTCTCTCTCTCTCTTTTATTCTCTTTGACTTGAACTGCTAAGCAAGAACATAGAAGACAGTAGACATTCCCCGGAAACTGAAAGGCAAGCGCTGGAGAGTGACCCACTTTTAGAAACAAGAGTGAGCAAAAGAGAGGGATTTATTGTCTTATAAAAGAGGCACTGAAGGATAGGTACAGTAAGGGAGAAAGTTGCTATCCCAGCTCCTGACAAGTCGGGTTTCAGCATAGGTCCTGTCACCCTCCATGGGGGTGCAACATTCTGTGGATGCTGTACTCAGATCTCACAATATGGTGACGTTTATGTGTCAACTGTACACGGAATCTTGTCAAACACAGCGAACCCCAACTATGACCTTTATTAAAACAGCTCTGGGCCGGGCGCGGTGGCTCACACCTGTAATCCCAGCACTTTGGGAGGCCGAGGAGGGTGGATCCCGAGGTCAGGAGATAGAGACCATCCTGGCTAACACGGCGAAACCCCGTCTCTACTAAAAATACAAAAAAAAATTAGCCGCACGTGGTGGCGGGCCCCTGTAGTCCCAGCTACTCGGGAGGCTGAGGCAGGAGAATGGCGTGAATCCGGGAGGCGGAGCCTGCAGTGAGCTGAGATCGCGCCACTGCACTCCAGCCTGGGCGACAGAGCGAGACTCTGCCTCAAAACAAACAAACAAACAAACAAACAAAACAATTGCTCTGACCTGGCAGTAAGGCATGTTTTCTGATTTTTAAATATTTAACTTTCTGGCAGAAATTGCCCATTATGTTAGCAAGAACTCGTGAAGGCGCAATAGCCCTGCAAATGTGGGGCGTGAATCATAGCCTCAGGACTGAGCCCTTCTCTGGAGAGGAAGAATCAACAGAGAACCTCCCCGAAACCTCACCCTCAGCCTGTGCACCCAGTGGCACCTCACAATTTAAAGGTACCTGGCTGGGGTGTTGGGAAACAATGGCACATCCCTCTAAATTCACCCTAGACTGAAAAAGAGTTTGAAAACCTCTTCCAGGTTAAAAAAAAAGAAAAGGAGGCTGGATGCGGTGGCTAACTCCTGTAATCCTAGCACTTTGGGAGGCCAAGGCGAGTGGATCACTTGAGGTCAGGAGTTCAAAACCAGCCTGGCCAACACGGTGAAACCCCGTTTCTACTAAAAATATTTTTAAAAAATTAGCTGGGCGTGGTGGCAGACGCCTATAATCCCAGCTACTCAGGAGGCTGAGGCAGGAGAGTCGGTTGAACCCAGGAGGCAGAGGTTGCGGTGAGCCGAGATGGCGCCATTGCACTCCAGCCTGGGCAACAAGAGCAAAACTCCGTCTAAATAAATAAATACATAAATAAATAAAAGGAGGGGGGAGGAGGAATTGAGGAAGTAAACAGACAAGCAAACAAAAGCATCAATAAGCCCCAAACACTAAAACCCAATGCTGACCTTCCATCATCTGCAAAATGAGGCTTGGACTCCATGATATTTCAGTCTCCTCTCAGTTCTGAAACTTCGACACAAGAGATGAGGAAACCATCCTAAAGCGTTCACTTCAGTGTGTAAACGCTCTCACTTTGTGGAAATTCTTCCTCTAGCCCAGTGGCTCTCAGCCCTGGCTGTACCTTAGAATCACCTGGGGACCTTTTAAGAAATACTCAGGTCCAGGCCCAAGGTCAGACTGTTTAAATCAGACTCTCTTAAGGCCTCCATATTTTTCCTAACCACCTTCACCAGCCTAACTGAAATTCCTTCTCGTTTCCACCTCATGAACACTCAGAACAGCCACTTAGGACAGCTAAGCAGGAGGCTCATTCCAGGGCTGGATCTGTACTGCCCATCACCATAGCCACCAGGCCCATGTGATACTGAGCCTCGAACATGGGCTTGTCCAGATGGAAATGCAAATCAAGTAGGAAATACACACTCAGTTTCCAAGATTTAGCATGAAACAAAAGAATGTAAAATATCTCATTTAAATCATTTTAATTGATTACATATTGATTGAAATAATAATTTTCCAAGACGTTGGGTTAAAGAAAATATATTATTAAAACTAATTTTAATGGTTTCTTTTTATTTTGTTTAAGGTGCCCCGTAGAGAATTTAACCTTACACATGCAGTTCCCATTCTTTTTTTTTTTTTTGAGATGGAGTTTTGCTCTTGTCACCCAGGCTGGAGTGCAATAGTGCAATCTCAGCTCACTGCAACCTCTGCCTCCCAGGTTCAAGCAATTCTCCTGGCTCAGCCTCCTGCGTAGCTGGGATTACAGGTGCGCACTACCACGCCCAGCTAATTTTTGTATTTTTAGTAGAGACAGGGTTTCACCATGTTGGCCAGGCTGGTCTTCAACTCCTGACCTCAGGTGATCCACCTGCCTCGGCCTCCCAAAGTGCTGGGATTACAGGTGAGAGCCACTGTGCCCGGTCTTACGTTCTATTTTTATTAGACCCCCATTGTGCTAGACATAACTTTAAGGTATTATTAATTTTTCTTCTCTAGCATTCTCTTCTCCACTCTGGAGAGTCTCATTTCTTTTAATTTTTCTCGAAATTATTTTCCAGTACTAAGGGCTATTGTTGCTCTCCTCTGAGCCTCTTTCATGATGGAGCTTTGAGTAGATATAATTCATTTGGATTTGGAATTTTTCAACTCATGTCCAGCTCCCAGTAGGAGCTACTGGCTGGAGTGTTTGGGAGTATTAGAAAACCTCCTAAGCCAAAAATACCTCCTCTAACTATCTTCCACAAGACCATTATAAATATTCCTTTGGATTAAGGCACTAGTTCAAAAGCCTTTACCAAATGTTCCCATAAATGCTTAATCCATTAATACTCTTACCACGTTTGCAAAGAGTAGCATGCTTAGAGAATGGGATATAGAACAGGTAACTTACTTTTTTTTTTTTTTTATAAGACTTACATAGATCAGGAAAGGCCTCTCTGGGGTGAGGAGAGGTTGGAGGGGAGGGATAAAACTGGTTAAAGAACCCACCAATAGGTGCTCTGGGCAACCAGGCAGCTCATCAGAAGCTAGAGGTTTCTCAGCAAGCTATAGAAAGCTGAACATATTCAAAAAAGATCTTGTCCCCTGAACAATTTTGCTGAAGGATTGATCCCACTTCTTAATAATAAAAAAACTCATGAAAAAAATTCAATCCTTGTAAATAAAGATTAGCTATCTTTTGCCTTTCTTTAACCAGTAACTTGTCTAGGCATATTTTAAAAAGAATTCTGTTTACAAAAATCCTACTTAATCACACCCACGGCATAGAATGAAGCACCTATATCCCAGAAAGGGTCAGTCAATCATTGGAAGTAATGAGAGGATTGCTTTGTGAGTCATTTTCAACCCCCTGCATTCGTCTGCATGCATCTCAGGATTTCGCTTAATCTTTCAACTACACGTACGCTCTGTGGTCTGGACACCACCTCTCCAGAGTGTTTGAGTGGCCAGTTCTTCTCTTGGTCCTGGGCACTTGGCATTTCCTCCCAGGGTGATCCTTCAAGAGCTGGGTTTTGTTTGTTTCTGGCATCTTTGTTCAACTGACCGAAGCACCTTGAAATGCTGATGTCCTCTGCGGAGTTGCTGGTGGTCACCCACCCTGCAGGTCATCTTCCCAGGTTGGGACCAACCTCAGGGTTCTTAGCTACTCCCTCTATTTTCTCAATCCAAGTGACCTCGGAAAATGGGCAACAGCCAAGCAGTGCCTAGGAGGAAGCCCCATGGTGGGGACAGGACCTCAGCAGTTAGGGTGGTTCCAGCTCACCACTTCTAAGCTCTTCCCTTTCAGCAGTGAGCACTTCCTCTCCTGTTGGCTCTCTGCTCTCCCACTTCCAACCCTGCTCCTTGAGTGTGTCACTTAACCCCTCACTCATTTCACACTCCGCCTCTGAAATCCCCGTTCTTACTCAGCATCGTATATCCCATGTGAAACCCCTTCCAATGTGCAAACTTCCTACTGCCCTGAACAGCATGCTGCTGTGAAAGAGTAATTCTCTGCCCTCTTGTGTTGGTTAACAACCCAGTGTATATAAATCAATGTTGTATTGCCAAACAGTAATGATTAGGAAATCTGCAAGCCCAAGTTCCAGTTAAATGGAGGGCTGGACAAGCTCAGCCTGGGGCTCAGAATTTAATCACACTCTCCTGCCTTGATACATATCACCATACCTGGCACGCGATTCTATTTTTGCATCTGTCACACTGAACTGGGATTTGTATTAAAGCCTGTCTCCCCTGCTACTCCTTGTGGGAAGGGAATAACTTTTGTTTTTCTCCTTACCTTTAAACCTACGATAGTGCTAGTTACATATTGGGTACTCAATAAATGTTTGACGAATTAATGAAGTAAGTTAATCAGCTCTGCTCAGCAAATAGATTGGAAAAAGAGATCTCTCTCAGAGCAACATGAGAAATCTAGTTAGTGAGCCATGAGAAATGTGGATATTTGAAGCAGAAATGATCAGTTTCTAAGGCTGGTCCTTATAGGGAAGTAGACAGGAGGCAAAAAGGCCTAGCAGCCTGGCAAGTGAGCATTTTCAACAAACAGTACAGGGCAAGAAGGAGCAAAGAGGCCAGGCGTGGTGGCTCAAGTTTGTAATCCCAGCACTTTGAGAGGCTGAGGCTGGCGGATCACAAGGTCAGGAGATTGAGACCATCCTGGCTAACATAGTGAAACCCCTTCTCTACTAAATATACAAAAAATTAGCCGGGCATGGTGGCGGGTGCCTGTAGTCCCAGCTACTTGGGAGGCTGAGGCAGGAGAATGGTGTGAACCTGGGAGGCGGAGTTTGCAGTGAGCCAAGATCGTGCCCCTGCACTCCAGCCTCGGCAACAGAGCGAGACTCTGTCTAAAAAAAAAAAAAAAAAAAAGGAGCAAAGGGACAGGGCAGAGAGATTGACATGCCCTCTGCATCTTGGGCACCAAGCCATGGGGACCTGAAGACAGGCAGGCATCGGCTAAACTTGGCAGGACAGCACACAGCCTGGGGAAGATTCAAAATGACAGAGAACCCTGTGAGTGCAGCACACTTCCTGTCTGCAAACTTGTTGCGGAATATGAGGCTCTTCACATGGGCTAGGGTTCCTGGACCACTGACTGGGGACTGGACGGAACACTTTGAAGTGGGCCAGAAAATCACCAACTCGCCACCAAGCGGGTCTCCCTTTGCTGACTTGCCCCTCCATAAAGGTGTTTCCCACCCTTGTAGGTCTCACAGTGCAGTGCCTGCACACACAGCATCAGCATCAGCATCGCCTGGAACTTGTTGTACCTGCAGATTCTCTGGTCTCACCCAGGCCTGCTGAATCAGAAACTCTGGGGAGGCCCAGCCATCTGTTCTTGAGGAGCCCTCCAGGTGCTTCTGGTGTGTATTAGACTCAGAAACAACATCCTAAGATTCTTACACGATTACTCTGGAAGCGTAGTCCCCAGGCGATGCTAATTCACAGCCGAGGTTGAGGACACTGGCTCACGACTTCTAGGAGTTTGTGTGACTTGAAGCAAGTTTCTTTGTTCTTTCTTTCTTTCTGCCTGGACTTGTTACCTCTTCTGTAAAATGAGGATTAAACCATCTTATTTGCTGCAATGCAAAGCGCTGAATTAGACGATTTCTTGAGGTCCCTTTCAGCTCTAGAGAAAATGGTCCCTTGATTGCTTGGGGGAAAAAAAAAAAAGGGAAGGACAAAAAAGGAAAATAGAAGACAGAAAAAGAAAGCACCAAGAGAGGTTGGTATGATAGAGAGGCAGCCAGCCAATGCTCCAAAGACAAAGTGTGGCTTCTAAAGGTGGCTGTGGAATATTTTTAGCAGAACCAAATGTGGGCATACCTCATGTTGTTGCACTTGCCTTACTGCCCTTTTTGGATATTGTGTATTTCACAAATTGAAGGTTTGCGGCAACGCTGTGTCCAGCAAGTCAATTGGTGACATTTTTGCAACAGCATGTGCTCACTTCATGTCTCTGAGTCACATTTTGGAAATTCTTGGAATATTTTACACATTTTTATTATTATTATAATATCTGGTTATCTGTGATCAGTGATCTTTGACTTAGTTGTTTTGGGGTGCCGCCAGCCGTGCCCATAGAAGATAGCAAACTTAAATGATAAATGTGGTGTGTGTTCTGACTACTCTACCAGCTGTTCCCCCATCTCTATCCCTCTCCTTGAACCTCCCTATTCACTAAGACACAACAATATTGAGATTAGGCCAACTGTTAATGCTGCAGTGGCCTCTAAGTGTGCAAGTGAAAGGAAGAGTCACATGTCTCTCACTTGAAATCAAAAGCTAATAATGATTAAGCTTAGAGAGGAAGGTATGTTGAAAACTGAGATAGGTCAAAAGCTAGGCCTCTTGCAACAAACAGCTAAGGTGTGACTGGAAAGGAAAGGTTTTTGAAGAACATTAAGCGTGCTACTCCAGTGAACTCATGAATTATAAGAAAGAAAGAGACTTATTGCTGATATGGAGAAAGTTTGAGTGGTCTGGATAGAAGATTAAACCAGCCACAATATTCTCTTGAGCCAAAGCCTAATCCAGATCTAGGCCCTAACTTTCCTTAGTTCTTTAAAGTCTAAGAGAGGTGAGGAAGGTACAGAAGAAAAGTGTGAAGCTAGCAGAGGTTGGTTCATGAGGTTTAAGGAAAGAAGCTCTCTCCATAACATGAAAGTGCAAGGTGAAGCAGCAAGTGCTGACAGAGAAGCTGCACCAAGTTACCCAGAAGATCTAGTTAATATCACTGATAAAGATGGCTACACCAAACAACAGTGGAGATGCAACAGCCTCCTATTGGAAGTACATGCCATCTAGGATTTGCATAGCTAGAGTGAAGTCAAAGTTTGGCTTCAAAGCTTCAAAGAACAGGCTGACTCTCTTGTTAGGGGTTAATGCAGCTGGTGACTTTAAGTTGAAGCCAATGTTCATTTACCATTCTGAAAATCCTGAGGCCTTTAAGAATTAGGCTAAATCTACTCTGCCTGTGCTGTGTAATTGGAAAAACAAAGCGTGGATGACAGCACATCGGTTTACAGCAGGGCTTACTGAATATTTTAAGCCCACTGTTGAAACTTACTATACAGAAGAAAGGATTTATTTCAAAATATCACTGCTCATTGACAGTGCACATGGTCACCCAGGAGCTCTGATGGAGATGTACAAGTAGATTCATGTTGTTTTCATGCCTGCTAACATGGCATCCATTCTGCAACCCATGGATTTAAGAGTAATTTCAACTTTCAAGTCTTATTATTTGAGAAATAGGGCCAGACACCGTGGCTCATGCCTGTAATCTCAACTCTTTGGGAGGTCAAGGCAGGAGGATCACTTGAGGCCGGGAGTTCAAGACCAGCCTGTGCAACACAGCAAGACCCTGTCTCTACAAATAATAATAACAATAATTATCTGGGTGTGATGGTGCACACCTGTAGTCCCAGGTCCTTGGGAGGCTACGGTGGCAAGATCACTTGAGCCCAGGAGTTCTAGGCTGCAGTGAGCTATGCTCATGCCACTGCACCCTAGCCTGGGCAATAGAGTGAGAACTGGCATCTAAAAAAAAACAAAAATCTAGCCTTCCAGTGAGCAAAGTATATTGAAAACCTTCTGGAAAGGATTCACCATTCTAGATGCAATTAAGGATATTTGTGAGTCATGGGAGGTCAAAATATCAACATTAACCAGAATTTAGAAGAAGTAGATTCCAACCCTTATGGATGACTTTGAGAGGTTCAAGATGTCAATGGAGGAAGGAACTGCAGATGTGGTAAAAATAGAAAGGGAAAATTAGAAGGGGAGCCTGAAAGTGTGACAATTGCTGCAATCTCATTATCATACTTGAATGAATGACGGTTGCTTCCTATGAATGAACAAGGAAAGTGGTTTCTTGAGATGGAACCTACTCCTGGTGAAGATGCTATGAACATTGTTAAAATGACAACAAAGTATTTAGAATATTATATAAGCTGAATTGATAACACAGTGGCAGATTTGAGAGGGGTTGACTAATTTTGAAAGAAGTTCTACTGTGGATAAATGCCACCAAACAGTGTCACATGCTACAGAGAAATCTTTCATGAAAGGAAGAGTCAACAGATGCAGCAAACTTTATTGTTGTCTTATTTTAAGAAATTGCAACAGCCTACCCAACCTTCAGCAACCACCACCCTGGTCGGTCAGCAGCCATCCACCTTGAGGCAAGACCTTCCACCAGGAAAAAGATAATGACTCACTGAAGGTTCAGATGATCATTAGCATTTCTTATCAATAAGGTATTTTTAAATTAAGGTATATACATTGTTTTTAGACATAATGCTTTGCACACTTAATAGACTACAGTATAGTGTAAATTAAGTTTTATGTGTACCGGGAAACCAAAATATTCATGTGACTCTCTTTATTGTGATATTTGCTTTATTGCGGTGGTTTGGAACTGAGCCCACAATATCTTTGAGGTACACCTATAATGAGACAAGTGGCACTTGTTGTCTCTTCCTTGGAAACTGAAACAAGCTTTCTTAAGATCTTCTCAGAGGAAGATGTAAATGGAGTTAATGAAAGGACCATTTCAAATCACATTAAGCTCAAAATAAAGATTCTGTAGCAGTCTGCAGATTCTATGATAAAAAATATGATAAGGGTCAGAACCACTACTTGACAAGGTGAACTAAAATGGGACAGGTTTGGGTCTTCTGGAAGATAACTTTGGTATTCCTTTCTTCTTTCCTCTTCCCTCTTCCTCTACCTTCTAAATGAGGGAGAATTACAGGAATTCCCTTCTTGCTTCCAGATATACCTGGGACAAAATGGTTCTAGGCAAACAGGAAAACCTGGGGTCTGGGCGTAAGGGAAGAACTGGAAACAAAAACATGAGCACCCGTAATGGTGACCCAAGAAGCAGGTGCACCAGGAAGTCACTAGGGATTGCTAGGAGCAAAGCAGAAATCCAAATCTCTATCTTCAGAATGGGGTAGACCTACTAGAAGAGTGGATTGTGTGGCCAGACCCTCAGGAAGCCAACTGCAATAGACTAGGATGCAAAGTGGCTACAAATGGGCCTGATTGGAGGACTGAGTACAGACCACAGCTAGGGAGGGAAAAGAGGGAGCCAAGCATGGTCAGTGCCACAGAAGAAGTGTCGGTGGTCAGGTCTATACACACAGTTTATGTAAGGAATGATTCTCCTGAGAGCTGTGCAGTGCTCAACCGAACAACTGTGCATGGCAGTCCTCTGTGATAGCTACAATATCCAGGGATATCACTGGAGGTAGCCAATCTATTTTCTTTAAAATAATGCCTTTCTTTTGGGGGACTGATGTAAAATGCCTGCTATATTAAACACACCACATAAAGGGCATGAATTTAATCAATCTCCTAATTCTCTTTTCCTCATCTTCTTTTCTCTTACTTTTCTAGTCACTAGTACTTTAACTTCTCAAAGTCTGACAGGGTAGCTGGAATCAGAAACAGTGCCGAACATTAGCAAGAGTCATTTGAGATTTAATTAGGTAACCCTTTCAAAAATATGTTAACTCTGAATCAATTTGGCATATTTTTTTTTTTTTTTGACAGAGTCTCACTCTGTCGTCAGGCTGGAGTGCAGTGGCAGAATCTCGGCTTACTGCAACCTCCACCACTCGGGTTCAAGCAATTGTTCTGCCTCAGCCTCCCGAGTAGCTGGAACTACAGGCATGCGCCACCATGCCCAGCTAATTTTTCGTATTTTTAGTAGAGATGGGGTTTCACCATGTTGGCCAGGATGGTCTCGAGCTCCTGACGTTGTGATCCGTCTGCTTTGGCCTCCAAAAGTGCTGGGATTACAGGTGTGAGCCATCACGCCCGGCCAATTTGGCACAAATTTAAACTAGGAAGCTTGAATCTTTTCTACCTGTTAATTTGACAATTTTAAGCTAAATAAAAAGAGAAACAGATAACAAGATCATTCCGTGTCACAAATTTCTTTTCAAAGGAGTTATGCATGAGCCCCAAAGTGTATCTCACATAAAATCTTGGGGGGAAATGAAATCTGTATCATTTTAGCATTAACGTTACTAGTGAACTCTGAGAGAATAAAGTCATTTCATGAAAGAGAGAAACATGAGCAAAAGGGTGGCTTGGAATGTGTCTTGGCATGAGATGGCCAAGATACGAAGAAAAAGAAAAAATATACCTGGCATCTTGGCCACATTCCCTCCTTAGAACAGAATCTTCATTTTATGGGAGACATAATTATCTCCCAGCTTCTCCAATGCTGGCTGTCTAGCTAATTCTATAGAGACAGGCTATTTAAATGTTCTACGAATGCCGTGCTGGTAGCGCTTGCATATGAAATGCAAGGCCTCCCAAGGATTTTACAGAACAGCAGGAACTGCGGTGCAAAAATTTTATGGAGTGAATAGCTTGTCAGACCTAAAAGCAGGTGCCTTTTGCTTTTTCGTAATCCCATGCCTATTTTAGAGACCATATATACATTTGCTTGTTATACTTATGGTTTTATCAAGGTTATATCAGGAGCTCAGGCTGATGTCTGAAACAAGGAATAACTATTAGAAAATTCATTAGGTGAGCATCCCACTGTATGTACCTGTAGCACAGCGCTTTGAGTGCAAGAAGCAATGGGTCCATGTTCAGAGAAGGCACGATGAAGCTTTGGCAGTGTAAGTTCCCATGCCAGGGGAAAGCCTACGTGGGTGGTTCTGATTTTCTATATCAATCAGCACCACATCTCCTTTTCCAATTACCCCAGTGCATGAGAGACAGAAAAGATCCTCTAAACATTTCTATGACAAGCTACATTTCTACAAGTTCCTGTGAAGAAGACCAGTGATTCTACATGGGCACCCACTTCCCACTAAGGAGAAGTCGGCATAAGCAAAACTTCCCACTAAGGAGAAGTCAGCTAACCTTGCCAACTAATGTCATGTTCATAAGAAAATGTGGGTAACCTTGGGGTATGCCTCTGTGATGATTGGGGAAGTATATAAGGAACGTAGCCTTCTCTACTCTGTTATGATTGCTTCCTGAACTCAGGAAACTACCCTCCCCTACTAAGATATGGGAGTTACCCTGCTATGAGTTTTGTGGTCCTGGTATTCATGTATCGAGAACCCCAAGAGGGGCCTCCAGTCTTAGAAAGATATTCATTGGGGGAGGGATGAGAATATTCTGAAGTTGGGGAGGAGGAATTCAGGGGATGTCAGAAGAAAAGGAGGAGTATACCAGTTAGGGTCTTGGGAATCCCCAAGAGAGTGATACAGGAATCAGCTGTCAAGAGGGTCCTTCTTTGCCATTTCCTCTTTCTGACGAAATAAACCAATGCTTCTCCTTTTTTTTTTCCTCACTAAGTTTCAAAGCATCTTCCACCGATCAGCATTAGCAGACATTAGACACATCCACGTCTGAGAAGCACTTTAATTACAGGGAAGCTCAGAGCGAGGTGCAGCGATTGCATCCCCCTCTAATCAGAGTGTGTCTGAGTATAAAATTAAGAGAGAGAGAGACTCATCCTCCAGGATTTTCTTGGGGCTAAAAATAGGCCCCATAGTCACTAGACCAGCACTGTCCAGCCACTTCCAGTGTGGACTTTCCTCCTGTTCTCTTACCTGCTTGGGTACAACCCACACTCTGCTGCCTCTTCCAATTTAACTTAGTGGAGAAGAGCACATGCCAGCTTGGCAGAGCATAAATCCCAGTGCTGCTACTTCTAGCTGTGCCCTCTGTTCAGGTTGTTTAACCAGTCCTCATCGTAAAATGGGCGTAATCATAATGCTTACCACGTAGAGTTATTGTGAGAACTAATTAAGTTAATGCACATGCAGTGCTTAGAACACTGCCCGGCAAGTAGCAAAGACTCGGTGAATGTTGATGGTTACTTTATTATTATAATGAAAGAATCCTAACGGTTGATCAGTTTGGGAATAAATATGTGTTCTATCCAAAAGAAAAATGTCCAAACTTGAAAAATAAATCTCATCCTAGGCCAGGGGTTGGTAAACATTTTCTGTTAAGGGCAAGAGAGTAAATATTTTAGACTTTGCAGGCCATATGATCCCTGTTGCAACTACTCAACTCTGCTGCTCTAGGCAATTTGTAGATGGATGAGTGTAGCTATGTTCCAATAAAACTTTATTTACAAAAACAGGCAGCAGGCCAGAATTGGCCCATGGCTGTTATTTGCCAACCCTGTCCTAGACTATGAGCTCTATGAGAGAAAAGCCAAGCCCATTATGTTCACCTCTATCCTACTGCTCAGCACAGTGCCTGGCACAATGTTGGTGATCACATTATTAATATAATTATTTCTGAGTCAATGAAAACAAACTCAAAAGGGTAGGTCCTTTTATTTCTTCAAACCTTGGACTTTGGCACTCCTATTCAGACTGTGAAATGTGCAATTCTAAGTTCTGCCAACAGAAATGACAAAAGAGCTCCTGGGAATGATACACCATGTCCATTCAAGGGCTTCACGCTTTCTGGGCAAAAAAAGCGTTATGTCCAAAAAAAAAGAACAATTGAAAACAGTGACAGATTCCAATTCCAATAATCCACAGACCTGACTTTTGCACAGCTTTGTCTGATTGTCCATTATGAACTTAGAGGTGTCAAAAATAGCAGGGCACCTCCTATGCCTGTCTAAAAAGTGTGAAATACCTGAAACATGCTTCATTGCTCCCAAGCTCTCGGGAGGGGCAGTTCAGTGCACTGGTCATCAGTCACCTGTAAGTCAGACAGGCACATGGGCCATGTGGGCTTCAGCAAGTGACTTCCCCTCTTTATGCTTTGGGTTCCTCATCTACAAAATGGAAAGAGTAATATGACTGACCTCTGTGGTTGATGTGAGGATGAAATGGGATAGCACTCAGCACGTTGCCTATTTAACAAGCACTCAAAAAATTGGCTTTATTATTTCTGGGCCAGTATATAGCTCCCGTTGAAGTAGTTGCTAAGGGCAGCCTTGCCCTGTTTCTGAACTGAAAGTCGAGTGGGATGTGTAAGGGACAGTGCCCGCTAGCAGGTTGTGGGAACCCAAAAGACAATGCCTCCTGCTTCTCTCCCTCCTTTATTTCACCTATTTCCTTCTCTCCCCCGTCTCCTACCTGCTGGTTTGCATGACTGCAGGAGGTGGCAGTGTTCTGAATGCTTTGGGAACTAGGACATCTTCGGGAAGCTAGAGAATAGGACCCCGCATCTTCAAACAAAAGAGAAGAGGCAGTCTCTGAAGCATACTTGAGCAGGCAATTGAGACTGGGAGAAGTTGTTGCTATTCACAATGAGCTGGACCATGAGAGTTCTATTCCTAGCTTATAGCAAGTAGCTTCTGAGACATGAAGCCAATCAGAGGTCCTCACTGTGCCTCAGTCTCCTCATTTGAGAGAAGGAAATAATCATTCTAGGGCTGTGGATGGTATATTTCAAATGAGGGCTAAAGCACTTGACAAAAATAAAACATGATCTATGTAGGGTGGCAACATTTAATAGGAATGATTATACAGATCGCAGGATAAAGATATAAGCCACCACAGGTCTAAAATAGTTTTAGGAACAGCTCTGCCTGGAGGCTAAATGACCTCAAAGCACCTTCTAACTCTCTGATTTTCTGTGACTACAGTACAACTCATCAATTTCAGTATAATGGGGCAAGAGAACCCATCTGAATTAGTGAAGAGCCGGACTTTATTGCAATCAGTCCATCAAATCCAGCCCTTTTAGATATAAAGATAAGTGGATCTAAAATAACCAAATCTTCCTAAGAAATGTTTGCTTAGAAACAGATAAAAATGATCTATAGTTGCATGAACCTGATAGGTGTTTATAGAGCATTCCAGGTTACTTGAAAACTGTGTGTTCTCTTAATTAATGTAAGATTAATTCTTCTTACTGTGTATTCTGCATTACAGAGTATGAAGAGAACTGTGTATCCTCTTAATAAATGTAAGCATTTATCAGCTGTCTCTTACCCCCAGTCTTGGGGATATTGTTGTTTCGCTTTATTTTTAACTAAGTATACAAAGAAGATAGGATTTTTAGAACTCTGCTAAGCAAACCCTATCTTCATAGATACTGCAAATGAAAACATCAGTCCTAGCTACATCGCCACAATCTTTATTTCAATTTTTGCGTAACTAAGGGCTGCAGGGATCCAAACTCCAAAGTCCACGGGACTGCTAGGGCACTTGGCCTGTGGCCATTGGAGCGGCCAGTGTTGGTGACCACACAGGGACCTGTCACATATCACTCTTTGATCTTGAGCACTGTTCAGCTGGCAGCTGGGCTACATGTGCAAATACCTGCAATCTCTGACTGGCCAGGAGAAAAAACAAAGTTGAATGACCTACTACCTTGTCTATGGATCCAGGCCCTGAGAACTTTAGATGAGGTCTGGACCTTTCGTTCCTGAGTTGACAGCCAGTAGGCCATGAGGGAGCACACATAGCTTGTAGGGTTGATTGGGGTTGCCCCTAGTTGATCCCTGTGTCATCTATGGAGCAAGGGCAAGTTCAGGGCAAAGGTGCAAATTCCACTAACCCACTGTCCCAGGGATGTGTGCTGAAGAAGAAGGGGCTCAGAGCTGGATGATCCAGGCTTCAATGAAAATTTGCCCACCATCATCATTCTGTGTCCCTACCTCCAAGCCCACGGCCTGTCACATAGGATACCCTTGATAAAATGAATGAAAAAATGAATGAATATGTATTTCTTTGTTGAATGAATAGAAGGTACCAGGCCACACAAGTTTGTGTGTTGAAAAGTCTGAAGCAAAGGACATTTACCAAGGTAGCAGCAAAGGAGTTAGGAAGTATGTGTCCTATCTGGTAGTACTTGCTTAGGAGGCCAGGTTCCAAACATCCAGTCTCCAACCTGTGCTCAAAGGAAAGCATGTTGCCTCTTTTGAGGCACAAACTTGTGATGTTTAGTAGGCTCACTTATCTTGCAAATGGAAATTTTATTTTCTTTTCTAAGAGACAGGGTCTCTCTGTCACCCAGGCTTGAGTGCAGTGGTTCACTGCAGCCTCAACCTCCTAGGCTCCAGCAATCTTTGTGCCTCAGCCTCCTGAGTCGCTGGGACCACAGGTGTGTGCCACCATGGCCAGCTAATTTTTTATTTTATTTTTATTTTTTTGTATAGATGGCGTTGCCATCTCCTCAAAATAGGGTTGCCATCTCTATAAGATGGGGTTGATGAAAATGCCAAAAGCAATTGCAACAAAAGCTAAAATTGATAAATGGGATCTAATTAAACTAAAGAGCTTCTGCACAGCAAAAGAAACTATCAGCAGAGTGAACAGGCAACCTGCAGAATGGGAGAACATTTTTGCAATCTACCCATCTAACAAAGGTCTGATAACCAGAATCTACAGGGAACTTAAACAAATTTACAAGAAAATAACAAACAACCCCATCAAAAAGTGGGCAAAGGATATGAACAGATACTTCTCAAAAGAAGACATCTATGTGGTCAACAGATTATTAAAAAGTCAGGAAACAACAGATGCTGGTGAGGGTGTGGAGAAATAGGAATGCTTTTACACTGTTGGTGGGAATGTAAATTAGTTCAACCATTGTGGAAGACAGAGTGGTGATTCCTCAAGAATCTAGAACCAGAAATACCACTTGACCCAGCAATCCCATTACTGGGTGTATACCCAGAGGAACATAAATCATTCTACTATAAAGATACATGAACACGTATGTTTACTGCAGCACTATTTACAATAGCAAAGACATGGAACCAACCAAAATGCCCATCACTGATAGACTGGATAAAGAAAATGTGGTACATACAGACCATGGAATACTATGCAGCCATAAAAAGGGACATGGAAGAAGCTGGAAGCCATTATCCTCAGCAAACTAACACAGGAACAGAAAACCAAACACAACATGTTCTCACTCATAAGTGGGAGTTGAACAATGAGAACACATGGACACAGAGAGGAGAACAACACACACTGGGGCGTATTGGGGGATGAGGAGGGGAGGGAGAGCATCAGGACAAATAGCTAATGCATGTGGGGCTTAAAACCTAGATGACGGGTTGATAGGTGCAGCAAACCATGGCACGCGTATACCTATGTAACAAACCTTTATGTTCTGCACATGTATCCTGGAACTTAAAGTAAAATAAAAATTAAAAAAAATTTTTTTTGGAGAGATGGGGGTGCCCAGGCTGGTCTCAAATTCCTGGGCTCAAGAGATCCTCCTGCGTCAGCCTCCCAAAGTGCTGGGATTACAGTTGAGAATCCCAGCCAAAGTGCACCTGGCCAAAATGATCATTTTTTAAGTTGATGATAAACTGGAGGCGGCTCAGGCTTGCTGAAAGCTCTCTGCTTTTTAGGATCAGCCAAATATTAGCTTGCATCCAGTAGGTGGCACTTTGACAACAGAGGCTCCTAAGCCCTTTGTGCAGCTTGATAATGGTTTATCAATTTATCTAAACTTTTAAAATGAGAAGATTCAAACCACCACAAGCAGGTGCGCAGTTATAGATGATTGGTATTTGGCTATAAATAACATCATAACTCTCCAAAGGCCCCTAATTTCACCCTGAGAATTGGAAACTTTTCCTGTGAAAATCTAAGACCAAAAAAAAGAGTTAATGTCTTGAGGAATCCTGAAAGAAATAAAGTTACAGGGCCATCCCTAGCGCTACGATGCTTGTGTTTAGTGATTTCTTTTTCTCCTATTAAACATGCCATCTGGAAGCAAGCTTACCATCTGGAAGGACATTAAGTGGGTTCCAGATGGATCTCCCTTTGATCCAATCGATATGGACAGGAGAACACCCAGAACAAACTCTATGCCATATTCTGAGTTGGCTGCTAGAACATCGATATTTCAGAACACAGGCTAAAAACAAACATTGCACGAATAGGTGAGGAGCAGGCTCTTCAGTAGAAAGGGGCAAACCACGGGAAAGAGCAAAACCTGCAGAGAAGGGCCAGGTGAGATAATACAGAATTTGAGGGCACTCAAGGTGCCTACAACATTACAGGTTACTACCTTGGAGAACTGTGTCATCCTTTCAGCTTTCACTTTGTTTTAATGAAAAGGTCACAGTCTATTTTCATTGTCTGGCACATCTGAGAAGAGTGGTAGAAAAAAGTTAAAGATTAGCTCAACTTTTTCACCCCATGTCTGTGCCAACCTGCTACCCACTCAGTGCTACAGAGACAGAGGAGACAAAGTCAGGTGTGAAGGTGCCTGATGTTTCTTTCTTCCCACCAAACTCAGCAGCCCCAAAGCCAAGATTTGAGGACTGGGATTACTAGGGGTTAGGAAGGCAAAGAAAAACGTGGAAAATATGAGTCGAAGCTCTATCCTTACTTGTATATATCAATACATGTGTATATCAATACTTAACAAGCTCTATCCTTACATGTATATATCAATACATGTGTATATCAATACTTACTTCACCGGGGTAACTACTTAAAAACATTTTTTGTTTTTGTTTTTGAGACTGTGTCTTGCTCTGTCACCCAGGCTGGAGTGCAGTGGCACAATCTCACTGCAGCCTCCGCCTCCTGGTTTCAAGTAATTCTCCTGCCTCAGCCCCCTGAGTAGCTGGAATTAAAGGCACACGCCACCATGCCCAGCTAATTGTTGTATTTTTAGTAGAGATGGGGTTTCACCATTTTGGCCAGGCTGGTCTTGAACTCCTGACATAGTGATCCGCCCGCCTCAGCCTCCCAAAGTGCTGGGATTACAGGCATGAGCCACCGCACCCAGCTCTATTTTTAAGTAGTTTATCATCAACTTAAAAAATGATCATTTTGGCCAGGTGCATTTTGGCTGGGATTCTCACCTGTAATCCCAGCACTTTGGGAGGCTGAGGCGGGAGGTGTTGTGAAGAGCAAAAATGCATGCAAAGAATCTGATACAATGCCTGGCGCTTGTAGATGCTCAAGAAACTGCAGTTGTTTGCTTGCTTGCTTTTTAAGTTAAATAATGCCTTCTTGTCATGGTAGACAAAACAACTTTATAGCATTCATTCATTCAAGTGTCACAATAACTTTGTGAAATAGGAGGGGGTTATATCTCGACTGTTTTATATTAATGTCTTAATATTAATATTAAGATTTTAATACTAATATTAAGATCTTAACACTTTTTGCTCAAGACAAAAAATGGTGCTTGGAGATTTTTAATGAAACTCTAAAGTTGTAGGTCCAATAAATGGAGATCTTGGACTTGAAACTGACTTAATTGGATTCTAGCTTCAAGGGGTCTTTCCATGGTGCCAATTGCATCATCCTTTTCACAACTTCAGTGCTTTTGCTTTTTCCTTAAGTTTACTGTAGTTCTGCATCGGTGCGCCTAGAAAGGTGGCAAAAATACTTACTGAGACTTTGGAATCTTCTTTCAAGGGAACCCCATTTCCAGTTGTTTTCCCTCTCTCTCTTGCTCATGCTCTTGCGTTCATTCTCACTGTCTCTCTCCATAAATATATATCTTACATAGAGTAAACCATTTTGATTCTTTGGAGATGAGGTTATCTGTGTATGAATGGAATGTTTCTACCCTGGGCTAAAACAGTAAAGGCAGCAGAAAGCACTAGCCCTGGTATTATTCAGAAAGAGAATCACTGCTGTAATTCTATGCTACACATAAAATTTAGTGTACTATACATTTGGTAAATTATATATAAAATAAAAATAATTGTAGCTTTTAGTATAGGTAGATAGGTAATGGTAATATATAATCCAAACTAGAAAATGATAAAAGACAATTCCCTAAAGAACAGTCATCCTTTTCCTGGTATATGATTATCCAGTGTTAGGTTATATGGTTCTAATTCGTACTTGTAATTTCACTAAAGCCTTCTGGAAATTCTCCTCATAAAGCTCTATTTATGGAGACCTAAAAAAATTTAAAAGTGAACCTTTTCAAGGGAGAATTTTCTATGTGGTTGGTTGTAGTCTAATTCTTGTCCAAAAGACAGCTTTTTTTTTCCTGTCCAGTTTAGTTGTTGGAACAAACCTGGATGCATCAGCCACAGATATTATTGTCTAATAAAAGCATTGTGGAATTTACATAGCATATTTCAATGCCCAGGAGGTTTTCTTATATTTATTCATTCATTCATTCATTCATTCATTCATTTGCTCTGTTTTTGGAAAACATTCTAAAAAACGGAAGATAACACCACAGAAGCACATGTGGAAACGATTTTGTCTGTGGTCTTTAGCATGTGTGCCCAGAAACAAGCCTCCTCAGTCTTGGCATGTGACACACCACGGGCTCTTTTGCAAAGTTGAGAGTCTCAGAGATCTGTGTTTGTTGGGGGGAAAAACAGTATTTGGTGCCTACAGCTTTCCCTTCCCTGGGAGTAGAGGTTTAATTAATTAATTAATTAATTATTTCCAAGAGTCTTGCTCTGTCACCCAGGCTGGAGTGCAGTGGCACGATCTCAGCTCACTGCAACCTCCACCTCCCGGGTTCAAGTGATTCTCCTGTCTCAGCCTCCCGAGTAACTGGGATTACAGGCGCACGCCATCATGCCTGGCTAATTTTTGTATTTTTAGTACGGATGGGGTTTCACCATGCCTGCCTCAGCCTCCCAAAGTGCTGGGATTACAGGCGTGAGCCACCACGCCCGGCGAGGTTTAATTCATGATGTTGGAAAACTAAGCCCAACACAGATACACTGCAATAAGAGGTAGCAGCATAAAGGCCTAACCTAGGGTTTCCAAACTCAAACCAACAGGAATTCTGGAGAAAAATGCTGCCATCTGCCCTGCCATTTTGGGCATTGCTGTGGCCAGACAACTAACTGTGGGATGTAGTGCTTCCCCTTCTCTTGTAAGTTAAAATTGGTGACCAGTGCTTCTCAACGCTTTTTCCTATTATAACACATTACAAACGATATTTGTGTAAGGACAGTGGGGAGCAGGGATGCAGACCGTAAGTGACTAGTTCAAAGAGCTCAGTCCTCCTGCTCCCCATTCTCAGTGACTAGAGAGAGCAATTTTCTTGGGACTCCTGAAACCCATTCCCAGTACTCTGAGAAGCAGCTTCAAATTTGGGTCCTGTGGAAGAAGAAAGAGAGAGTAGCAGAATATATACATTTCTAATTAAAATACAACTTGGTTTGGGAACAAATTCCCTTTATCATAATTTTTAATGATTCCTTTTAACCTAAAATATAGTTCAAGCTTAACTATATTTTAGGTTAATTATAATATAGGTAAAATATATAGGTAAATATAGGTAATATATAGGTAAATATAGGTAACATATAGGTGAAATATAGGTAAACTATATTTTAGGTTAACTATATTTTAGGTTATTATATTTTAGGTTAGTTAAGCTTAAACTATATTTTAGGTTAAAAGGAATCATTAAAAAACAGTTACAGGCCGGGCGCGGTGGCTCACGCCTGTAATCCCAAAACTTTGGGAGGCTGAGGCGAGCGGATCACGAGGTCAGGAGATCAAGACCATCCTGGTTAACACGGTGAAACACCGTCTCTACTAAAAGTACAAAAAATTAGCTGGGCGTGGTGGCGGGTGCCTGTAGTCCCAGCTACTCGGGAGGCTGAGGCAGGAGAATGGTGTGAACCCGGGAGGTGGAACTTGCCAAGATCGTGCCACTGCACTCCAGCCTGGGCGACAGAGCAAGACTCCTTCTCAAAAAAAAAAAAAACCCAAAAAAAAACAGTTTCAAATATAGTTTAACCCCAGGCATGGTGGCTCACGCCTTTAATCCCAGCACTTTGGGAGGCCAAGGCAAGAGGATCACTTGAGGTCAGGAATTCAAGACCAGCCTGGCCAACATGATGAAACCCCATCTCTACTAAAAATATAAGAATTAGCCAGGTGTGGTGGTGTGCATCTGTAATTGCAGTTACTCAGAAGGCTGAGGCACAAGAATCGCTTGAACACGGGAGGTGGAGGCTGCAGTGAGCCGTGATTGTACCACTGCACTCCAGTCTAGGTGACAGAGTGAGACTTCGTCTCTAGGTAAATAAATAAATAAAATATAGTTATATTTTAAGTCAAAAGGAATCATTAAACTAATACACTAATCCAGGTTGAAGTTAAAGAAAGGAGACACAAAACTGACCACGAACTACCCAATCCTATGGTAACCAGAAAATTCCAAAGTCTGGTCTTCAACTTTGCAGATGTAGACATTTGTTTTTTCAGTGCACCCAGATTCAGGAGGTCTGGTTCATATTAATCAACCTAATAAGAGACTGATACATAAACTATAATGTCAAGTTAAAAGTTTGTAATAGAAGCTATTTCTTTCTTGTGGCCGAAAATTTAAAGCGTATCATCTAGATCATCCTCTTTCCAATGTCAGAAAAGCCAATGTGGAACCAAAGGTGGTTTTGGGGTACACAGAATCAGAACAAAAAGGGATGGCTGGACTGCCTTTAGAGATCTTTTATGTAGGCCATAGGCAAGTCCCATGAACAGTAGGGCTTCGTGGTTCCTGCCTGTAATCCCAACATTTTGGGAAGCTGAGGCAGGAGGATCACTTGAAGCCAGGAGTTTGAGACCAGCCTGGGCAACATAGTGAGACCCCATCTTTACAAAACAAATATAGCCGGGTGTGTGGTCCATACTTGTAGTCACAGCTACTAAGAAGCCTGAGGTGGGAGAATCGCTTGAGCTCAGGAGTTTGAAGTTGGAGTGAGCTACAATCACATCACCGCACTCCAGCCTGGGTGACAGAGCAAGAACTCATCTCAAAAAAAAAAAAAAAAAAAAAAGCTGAGTGCAATGGCACAGCCCTATAGTTCCAGCTACTCAGAAGGCTGAGGCCGGAAAATTGCTTGAGCCCAGGAATGAGCTGTGATCGTGCCACTGCACAATCACTGCCCTGTGAATGAACCACCCTTACCTTATCGTAGAGTACACCTCTCTAGTGATTATGAGGCTCATTAACCTCAGATCTAGTGTCCTAGCCCTTGGATAATACCAGATAAACAAAAATTCTTCCCCTGTAATTTCCTCTTTTAAAGACTCTTAGCAAGCAAGAGTTAAAGACTCTTAGTAAGATTAGAAAAATCGCATTCTAATCACATGTCCGTGAAATTATAGCCAAGTTACTTCAAATGGTCTTGATGGCTTTCCAGATATTCTTTCTTAGGTGACTCTTACAGTTGGCCTCATCAAATTTTTTTATGGATGCTTATGTTGTTGGGCTGATGTTTCCAAGTTCAGGGGCACCTTCCTTCACCTTAATGTATTACCAGAATTCTTTGATGATAGGTGGTGAGAAAAGATAATAAGATCCATTTTCACCTTAACATTTGTAGGTCTGTGTATTCTAATAAAAGTTGCAGAAGTTAACAACAATAAAAAATTGTTGTAATAAACAATAAATAATAAACAAAAATAAAATAATAAACAACAAACAACAATAAAAATTGTAAACAGCTAGAGCTCCTTAATTCTGCCTAACTGGGAAAAAGGGTAATTTAAATTAGCAAAAGTCTTAATCATAGCTTTTGTTTCTTAAAGCTCTAATTTAATGAAAAGTGCTCTTGCTTGAAATGACATCTCTTTTCTATTTCTGTCCTCCATTCACTTTGGCCAAGAGCATTAACCTGTCTAGGTCTCAGTTTCCTCATCTATGAAATGAAAGCACTAAGCCAACCTACCTCTAGGAATCCTTCCAGCTCAGTACTTACGTTATTTTACATGTATATCTGTATCTCTCAGCAAAAGAATTGACATTTGCAGGCAAGGAAATGGACCTTGCAGTAACTCGATAGCCCTGCCCCAATGAAGCATATTTCCAATCACTGGAGCCCGCAGAAGTATAATATAACAACAACAAACAATGAGAACAGCAAACATTCAATTCCAAAATTAGTTATGTGACTACCTGCAAGAATATACAGCATCTCAAACTAGGCTTGAATGAATGCCAATTATTCAAAAGGCACTTATTGAGTACATACTATTTACTCGGGTTTGGGGAGTGAAGGGAAATTACATTAGTCCCTGCATTTAGAGCTCAGACCCAAAAGGGGATACAGATGTTACTGAAACACCAGGAGTTCAGTCTCGGTCCTGCTGCTCACTGCACAGAAAGCCAATCACTGAGACAATAAGTATGAAGAAGGAGAAGAAGGCTTTAATCAGGTGCTGCAGCCAAGGAGATGAGAGATCTGTCTCAAATCCATCTACCTGACCAACTAAAATCAGAGGTTTATATAGCAGGGAAGAAGTGTAACTATATGCAGGAAAACAGGAATTAGGGAGGGGTAAGGAAGAGGAGTTAGTCAACAGGAAGTAGGTGGCTAGTTAGGCAATCATGATGGGTGAGGGGTCTGGAATCTCATTGTCCAGATGCTGTGATCTTCTGAGTTTCAGTTCCTCGATACTCTCTGGGGGGCCTGATGGTTGGTTTCCTGAGAAAGGAACTCAGATAGGACAATTGTAACTTTCTCAAGTTTTAAGACAGGGAAGGTTAATTTCTAGGTTTATTCAGAAAAAACCCTTAACATTGGTTCTATGGGGCAATTTGGCTCTTTCACAGATACAAGCACAGCTGCTCTGTAATGTGGTTCTAAGCCGGTTATCCTACGTGACACTAAGAAAGCACAAAAGATGGTGCAGTTAATTCTGCCTAGAGAGGAAAAGTGGAAGAAGGCTTCCAAAAAAAGTTAATATCTGAGCCTTCGAAGGCCTTGAAGGATGAAGTAGAAAGACATGGTGGGGCTGGAGTATGAGGCAGGGTAGCCTGGGAAGCAAGGGATGGGGAGGAGAAAGTTTGGGAAGGGGAAGAATTGCCACAAGATGTGGCTGGAAAAATGTGACTAGGAATATAAGTGGGCCTTGAATGATATTCAAAAGCATTTGGGTTTCATCTTTAACCAGGAGAGTTCCATGATCTGATTAGTATTTTGGGAAAGCCAAAACATGGAGAAATGTTTTGAAGAGGAAAGGCTGGAAATCAGAAGAACAGCTTGGAGACTATTACAGTAGGCCACAGGATAAGCAATCAGGGCCTGTGCTAGAATGGTACCAGGTGGGATGGATTTGGAAGACATTCCAGAGGCAGAAGAATGCACAGGAACTTGGCAGCTAATTGTATGTGGGAGGTGACAAGGAGGGAAACACGAAGAAAAGACTCAGAGGTTTTTGGTTGGAACTGGTGGATCCAATGGACAGTGGTCTCCTTTATGCTTATAAAGACTGATAATCTGCACTATACCAAAAAACAGCACTTAGGAAACATAAGTGAACTCAGCCTGGCCCCACAGGACACTCACAAGGACCCAATGAATAAAATCCACAAATGAAAGGATTCTTAGAATACACAGAATTTACATAAGTGAAAAATTAATGACATACAAAAAGTAAAATGGCTTAAGAAACCATGAGATTTTGAGGGCAAAAAAATGGCTTTAAGAGTTTGAAGTTGTTGTTTGTTTAGGGTTTTGGTTTTTGTGTGTCTTTTTGTTTCAGGTTTTTAATTTTTTTTAGTTTAGGTTTTTTTTTCACACATCTGTTTGTTTGTATATGACATTGTTGTTAAACTTAGAATGGAAAATGATGCAATAATAACCCAACAGAGTTTGAGTTTAATGTCTGGTTTAGCATTTCAACTATAAAAGCACCAACGTTTCTCCACTGTTTCTCCATTCATGTTTCTGGGTGTAAGGCATGAACCTTCAGGCCTCTGACATCCTTTGCTTTGTAAGTCATCAGGACTGAGTTTTTCCACAGGTAGAAGACAGAACATGTAGTATTGCTGTTATCCTTATTTCATAAAATGAGAAGGAGAAACAACCAAAGCTGGCAAGCCAGATTTGTACACTAATACTGTCCTCCTGGTCCCCAGGAAAATTACTGCTGAGTAAGTGCATTGTAGCATGCATTAAAATATTTTGCATTTTTACACCCAAAACAAGATGCAAAATAGCATTATTTTAAAAATAATTTTGCTAGTGAAATGCAATAAATGCTCGAATAAGTGCTTGCTCTATGTGTCTTCTTAATTTTTGTTATCCTACTTAATCCTCAAAACAATGAAGCAATAGGTGATCTTGATGTTCCTATTTAACAGGGGAGAAAACTGAGGCATGGAGAGGTTGAATGACTTGCCCATGTTCATGTAGCTAGTAAGTGGGTGAAGTAGCATTTGAGCCAGGCAGTCTAATTCCAGAGTTTATGACCTTAACTTCTCTGCTATTACTCCAATTAAATAAGCAAAATAATGATATGCTCATTTGACCAAATATTTTGCAATATTTGCAATTAATAAGCAATTAAGTATAAGCACTTCTGTCAAAATAGGCAAATATATGACAATGTTTTGTGAGTAAATAAAGTTATAAAACTATGCACAACATAGCATAATCCTATTAAAATGATTTTACATATATCACATAAACATACACATTATAGGCATAGAAAGCACATACACCCACCATCTCTGGGTAGTAAAATTATTGGTGATTTTTATTTTATAGTTAATAATTTTCTGTATTTTTCAGATTTTATAAAATAAACTTTAAAAGTTGTATCTGAACTTCCAAATTTCAGCCTGACCTGTAACAGATTGAAAAGTTATCACTCTTGTTCTAACAACAAGGAAAAAGTTGAACGTATTGAAAATAAAACCACAGACCCTGTTCAAGGAGTTGCTAAGAAAACTGAAAGATAACAGGAGAAATGAAAATGAGAACACTAGAAGAAACTGTAGCCTCTGACACCACAACCAGACAGAGCCAGATAACTCTCAGCCAGATAAACATAAAGCCTCACATTAGAGGCCTAACTACCTCAGTTCTTTTTACCCAATACATCATGTCCAGCTTTCAACAAAAAATGACAAGGTATGGTAAAAGGCAAAAAAAAAAATGGTCTCAAAAGATGGAGAAAGCATCAGAACCAGACTCAGATATGACAGTCTTGAGAATTATCAGACCAGGCATTTTAAAATAATTCTGCTTAATATGCTAAAAGCTCTAATGGAAAAAATACACAACATGAAAGAGCTTATTGGTAATGTAAACAGAGAGATGACAACTCAGAAAAAAATCAAAGGGAAATGCTAGAAATCAAAACACATCATAACATGCAAGGAGACAAAAAAAGAAAGAAAAAGATCAAACAGATTATCCAAGAACTGTGGAACAATTACAAGAGGCATAACATATGTATAATGAGAGTGCCATAAGGAAAAGAAAATGAGAAACAAACAGAAAAAAACTATTTAAAGTAGTAATGGCTGAGAAGTTTCCAAAGTTGATAAATAACAGACACCAAACCACGGATCCAGGAAGCTCAAAAGACACCAAGCAGGATAAATACCCAAAAATCTATACCTCTGCATATTACATTCAAAGTGCAGAACAACCAAAGACAAAGAAAAATCCTGAAAGAAGCCAGAAGGGAAAAACACCTAACTTGCCAAGGAATAAGGACAATAATTACATTGGACTTCTGTCTTCAGAAATTATGCAAACAAGAAGAGAGTAGATTGAAATATTTAAAATATCCGAGGATAAATCCACCAACATAGAATTCTGTATCCAGTGAAATTATCCTTCCAAAGTGAAGGAGAAGCAAAGACTTCCTCAGACAAACAAAAATTGAGGAAATTTGTCACAAATGGACCTGCCTTACAAGAAATATTCAAAGAAAATTTTCAGAAAAAAGAAAAATGATATAGGTCAGAAAGTCAGATCCAAAGAAAGAAAGAAAGAGCATTAGAAAAGGAATAAATGAAAACAGGAATCCAAAGTCACCTACCATTGTCATTACCACAGCCAAAATCAGAGCTCCATCAGGAGCTGTGCTGCTGCAGTTTCCTGAGTGGGAACCCAGAAGCTTCTGGAAACTCCATCAAAAGCAGAAAACAAAGATGGCTCCTCTTTTCTTCAGGCAGTCTCCCACCAGTCTCCCCCAAATAACCAGAAGAATCTGCTTTTGGTTCCTCAGTACCTTCCTACTTAAACTTAAACTCTACTTAAACTTCCATATTGCAAGGATGGCAACACCATGTATAACAACAACAGCAAGCAACTATTCCAACTAAGAGGAAAAAGAGAAAGGTGCAATATCCTATCCATTACCATGTCTATGCCTAGGAGATATTAATTCTGCTTCTAGTTCAGCCACAACTCCACCCAGACAGTCTATAACCTAAAGGCTAGATTATAAATTTAATAACTACCAACAAAATTGACACACCTGTAACTGGACTAAGAAAACAAGAAGAAAGAACCACCACCAACATGCCTTATAGAAAACAGGAGAAAGGGGAAAGAAGAAAATAATTGGTTTTATATTCATAGGCAGTGTTGTGGGTTGAATCACACTCCCTAAAAGATACATTCAAGCCCTAACCCCTAGTACCTGTGAATGTGACTTTCTTGGGTAATAGGGTCTTTGCAGATGTAATCAAGTGAAGTTGAGGTCCTACTGGATTGGGGCAGGCCATGAATTCAGTGGCTGGTCTCCGTAGGAGAAGAGAGATTTGGAGACACATAGACCACACACAGAGAAGGAAGAAGGCCATGTGACAACAAAGGTAGAAACTGGAGTGCTGCAGCACCAGCCACGGAATGACAAGGTTGCCAGCAACTACCGGAAGGTGGTAGAGATGAGCAAAGATTCTTCCCTGGAGGCTTCAGAGGGAGCATGGTCCCATCAACACCTTCATTTTGGATTTCTAGCCATGGAACTGTGAAAGAATAAATTTCTGTTGTTTTAATCCCCCCAAAATAGTTTTATTTGTTTAAGATTCTTTGTGGGGGTTGGGGGGGATGAAAAAAGTGACTTTGGTCTCATTTGGCTCCTACTGTGAAGATGCTCACATGGAGGAAGCCAGCGGCTGCTTCCCAGGGGGCCATCTGAGCTGGAGTAGTAGGCAGTGTCCTTGCAGGGATGAGGGGCTGTGTTTTTGTATGCAGGGAGACAGAAGATGCTGCTAGAATACAGAAGACATTATCCACAGTTTGCCGTTTCTTCTCTTTTCTTCCGCAGTGTTTCTTCTTGGTGAGTGGTGGGGGTTTAGGTAAATGGGCACGCCCCTCCCCCCGCCCCACCATCACCATCTAGCCAAGCAGTAGGAGCTGGATGCACTTGGGACTTAGAGCCTGTTTCACAAGAATTGAATTGGGCCTTTCATCTCCTAATACAATGTAATCTGACTTGGGATCAGTTCACTCTTCAAATATGCGTGTAATTTTCAGGTAAATGCCTAGCACTGTGTATTTAGATGACAATGTTAAAATGGTTTTTAAGAGGATTCACCTTTGTGAACCACTACGCCTCTGCCTGAACCACTCATGTTTTTTCTTTTTTCTTTTTAGCCCGTCTAACTCTTCTCTGTATCAGTCAAGGTCCAGCAGGAAATAAATGGCACATGAAAATTAAGATAATTTGAGGGGGTTGTGGAGGAAGAACAAAGGGTAGTGCAGAATCCTGGGCCCAGTTACAGCAGAGCCATTACAACCCCCGGGACCAAAGGGATAGATGACATTTAAATGGAAGAAGAGGGGACACGGTGGCTCACGCCTATAATCCCAGCATTTTTGGGAGGCCAAGGCGGGCGGATCACCTGAAGTCAGGAGTTCAAGACCAGCCTGGCCAACATGGTGAAACCCTGTCTCTACAAAAATACAAAAAAAAAAAAAAAAATTAACCAGGCATGATGGTGGGTGCATGTATTCCCAGCTACGCGGGAGGCTGAGGTGGGAGAATCGCTGAAACCCGGGAGGTGGAGGTTGCAGTGAGCCGAGATGGCGCCATTGCACTCCAGTCCAGGTGATAGGGCAAGACTCTGTCTCAAAATAAATAAATAAATAAATAAATAAAAAATAAATGAAAGAATATATCTTAAAACAAGTATTTGGAGTCTACCATGTGGTAGAATATCAGATGCTAGATGCAGGGACTAGTGTAACCAACACGTTCTCCTCCCTCCTCATGAGACTTTGCAACCTAATGGAAGACAGAGACACTCAACAAATGACTACACAAATAAAGATCACATACAGTGGTTAGGTTCCAGAAATGAAAAGTAGAGGAGGCTGTGAGAAATTCTAGCAGAGAGGCAGGACCTGGTCCCACCCATCAGGGAAGAATTTCCTGGGAAAGGGATGTTTGGGCAGTCATCTACTGCAGGTAGGAGTTTCCAGTGGCAGCAAGAGTAGGCAAGGAGGAACTCTTGTGGGGTGGTGGGAACAGTGCCTGTGGAAACCCTCACCTTAGAAAGGACTGGGAGCATTCAAAGCTCTGGAGAAGCCCAGTGTGGCTGAAGCTCAACCCATCAAGGGAGAGAGGAGGAACGGGAGCTGGAGGGCCAAATCCTGACGGCTCTCACCATGGGGGCTTGGGATGTGAAGAGGAAAAAGTCATAGAAAGATTTTAAATTTAGGGGATCCGTCTGCATTTTTAAAAAGATTCTTAAAGACAAGGGATACAAGGGCTGTGTTTGGCTTATTTTCCAGCCCTGCATGGTAGCTTACACATAAGTGGGGCTTTTCCTATTTGTTGTTCTGGATGTCAGTACTGTGAGAAAGGTATTTTAGAAATTGTGTTTAGTAGTAGAAACTAAAAGACAGCTTGTGGAATTAAGTTTGGGATGAGCAATGGTGACTTTCCCTCAGGAAATCTGTTTTCTCTGATTACCATATGTCAGGGTCTCATAAAATGAAAAAGATGCAATTGCTTAAAACAACATAACATCAGCATCAGGAAAACGTTATTTTTTATGTATACCATCAGCTATGAAATCAGAATTTAAATCACGGTTTACTACTTCCTAGCTGTGTGTCCTTGGGCAGGTTGATTAGCCCCTCTGTGCCTCAGTTTTTTTTCTCTGTAAAAGAAGAATATGATAATAGTAGTATCTATTTCATCTCTTTATTGTGAAGAATAAGTGAAAAGCATGTTGAAGACTGCCTGGCACAAAGTTAAGTGCCCAGTAGATGGCATCTATTATTTAATTGCATACAAATTTCACGGTGCATATAAAAAGTTTTCCCCCAATGTTAAAATAATTTACTCTTAAGTGTTCCTGTTCCTTGATTCTTAACAGTGGCTATTTATGTGCTCATAATAATTACATAATGGCAAAATGACTTTTACAGTTATGTTTAATGCATCAGCTTTCAGTTGGGCTTATTACATAAAGTAATAAGAACATGTCTCCCTAATATTAAGTTGTTTTCTGATACACTCTGGATAATTCACTTTAGGAAATGTTGAAAGCTAACAACACATAAACCCATGGTATGTAATTTTCCCTGATTTCCGGATCATGAGAGGTGTTATGAAATGTATGTGGGGTTTATATACAGGCATCGTCTTTTTTCTTCCTCCTCTTGCCCATCTCTCACAACTTGCAGAAAGCTGTGTATTTTAATATTTTAATTCCCCACTCTTTCTCATGTATTCATAAGTGAAAATATGCACATTAGCACGATTTTATTTTTCAAGCTCATAAAGGTTAAAAGGCATCCCTTAGCTCAGTAGGCAAGACATTCATTCTCTTTCTCTTTGCTGCAAAACAAGGCTCCTGGTCTGCTAGTTTCATAAATCATTCTCCAACTAGCCCATGACAGACAAAAATCAAAGAACAAGTTAGCACTCAGCTAGTTACAGATTAGAAATCAGGTGACAGCAGGCCCCATTGTTTCTTCTATAATGTATCCCCCCAACGGGTATGCTGCTGTGCCTGGGTGAACACTCCCATACTTGTTGACAGAATTATTTTTAGAAAGTAATGCTTTCCCATTTATAAAATCCAGAGAGAGGCAGCATGATGTGTAGGCGGTAGCTCTCAGCTGTGGCTGCAGATCAAAATTACCTGTGGAGCTTTTAAAAATCTGCAGATGCCATGACCTAACTCCAGACCAATGGTTTTCAGCCTGGGCTGCATATGTGAATTGCCTGGGGAGTTTTTGAAGACTAGGATGCCTGCCAGGCAGCCCCACCCCACACCGACTGCATCAGAATCTCTCTGGGGGTAGGGCCTAGAGAGAGTCATTGCTTAATCAGCGGTCCAGGTGATTTTAACTTATGGACAGGCCTGAGAGCTACTGCTCTAGATAGATGGAATGACTTAGCCATTTAGCAAGTACCTGCTGACTGCTACTATATAGAAGGCATTGCTGGGAACGTTGCCGTTAATATAATACATACTTCCTGCTCTCCTGGGCTTAGAAATGCAAATAAAAATGTTCAGGGGTGGGCCCTAGGAATCTGAAGCTGATTATTTTTAAAGCTGATCAGCCAAGCTTGAGGATCAGAGGGTAGGAGAAAAAGCTGAGAGTCAGACAGCCGTGTTTGAATCTTGGTTCCTCTCCTTACTGGCTGTTTGGTTTGGGGTAAGTTACGTAACTGTTCTAAGCCTCTGTTTCCTGATCTTTAAAATGGTGGAAAGCAAATCTTCCACACTAGGGCCATTATGAGTTTTAAATGAAAAAGAAATCCGTAGTAATCTTGGTGCAGTAGCTAGTTTCTACTAGGCATTCGATAAATGTTAGTTTTCTCCCTTCCTCCTCCCCTTCATTTCTCCGTTGTCCTTAAAGCAATAGGTTGGTGCTAAATATGTGGGATGTACAATTGAAGTATGAGACACTGCCCCTGCTTTCTAGGAGTTATGGTGCAATAAACAATTAGAGAGCAACCGCATGGTATGAAAGCTATACCTAGGTGTGTGGTATTGGCTACTTTTATTGCTGCAGGGGTTCTGGCTGGAGAGAAATAATCACTGAGAATCAGGAGACAGAGAATGTTTCCTAAAGAGGAAGGATTTAAAAGGAGTTTTGAAAGGTGGGTAGGTTTTGCCAGAAGAGGAAAGGGAGGGTATTACAGGATGAAGGAAATAGCACAGCAAAGGTAACTTCTTAATGATACCTGAAGGTAGGTCATGTTTAAAGACAATGTATATTTTGCAAGCACTCATTTGACATGTGTCTATGCATGTCACGGATCAAGAAAGTGGGGTTTCCTTTTTGATCAGTGTGAGAGTGAATGACACTGTGTGAGTTTTATGTGTTTCATGTACGAGGTATATATTTCTAATGATACATGCATTTGTTTTGTATGTATTTTCCCTGCTACATTAGTTAGGAAAATTTTGCATACATCCATGTATTTTTACTTGCCTTCTCCTCAGGGGGTAGCAGCATGCCTTCTTAGAAAAACCCCACGTGCTTCATAAATAACAATGAATTTTCTGAACACGTAGAACAAAGAGCTGAATAAAGATGACATCATCCTCCTTAGAGTGAATTTTCATTCAGGTTATCATTTAAGTCCTGCTAGAGGTTTGCCTGGAACAGTTAGTCCCTGACCGATTGTGAACAGCAAAGGGAGTGGATCTGCTTAAGCCTCTGTCGCTGTTTGAGAAAGGCGAGCGAGCATCTCAGTAGCCGCCTCCTGCCCCAGCGGCCCCAGCCTTATGTTCCCCACCCTCCAGTGCAAGGTCTGGGCCTCCTCCCAGGCTCTGATGACAGTTGCTCACAGCTTCTCCCTCCTCTGCTGAGATGACTTTGAATGACCTACTTTGAAAATGGTATGAACTCAGCGGAGTGCCCAGGCGTTGGGGTGCAAACGGGCCTGCCCAGAAGGGCTTCCTGCAGAGGAGAGCGGGCTCTCCGGGGTCCCTCCAGAGGCTGCGTGCACGGTTTTGTTTTGGTGGTGGTTGCTCTTTTTTTCTCCCCCAGGGCCTTGGCTGTTACAATTCATCTTTATGCTCTTGGAGTACAGGCTAGTGATTTGCTGGGCCGCTGTTAAGTCAGAGGACGACAGCCAATCAGAGCAGGATTCTGCCCTGTCTCCCTGCTGCAAACTGCTGAAGTAGTAATGAACCTGAACGCGAGGTTTCAGGCTGAGCTCTCAGCAGCAGCCCAAGAGCGCTCTTTCCAGGGCAAAGCGGGGAGGAGCAGGAATTCTCGGAGCTGAATGACAGATCAGCGGCCTCCTGAGGCCTGTACCTTGGCTGCCACGTGGAGTCTTGGCTAAGCCTACCTTCCACCCAGCTAATTTTTTTCTCTGAGTTATGTGGCTTTTAAAACCAACATGGATGTCTATAGGGTGTGGGGAAGGGAGACAAGAAGGCAGCCAGGCAGAAGTGTTGGGAATTACTTTACCGCAACCACTTTCAGTAAAGTCTCCAGATCATCCCCTTTTCCCCTACTTCAATGACTGCCCACTAAAAAAGGAAGCCAGCTTTGAAATGATTTGAACTTGTAAACTAGCTTAAAAATGACTTTTTTGCAAAGCAGTGATTCTGAGTTCAGAATAGATACATTTCCACTATTTATCATCTGATAAAACTCTCCCTAAAGTGAAAAGAACAGGAGCTGATTTATCAACTTTTCCTTCAGGATATTTACAACATGTTAATTTGTCTGTGTTGGATCAGCTTGGGCCATTATCAATATGAAGGAAGAGAAAATTTTACTTTAACTCCTGTACGTGAATCTAAAATGGAACATTCAGTATTTATCTGAAGTTCCATTTAAAACTATCTGCATAGAACATCTGACCTGCTATTCAGAGTGCTTCTCTTGTTTATTTGGATTTTTTGAGTCTGTAAAGATATTTTCCCATGATTTTCTATGAAACCCACCACTTTCAGTTTCACCCAGCATTCTAGTCTTCTTCAGACCTTGGTTTGTGGAGTACAATCCATTGAGGGCCATGAAAACTTCCCTGAAAGAGACCTAGCAAAATGTTACATATGGGATTATCACCTTGAAATGCTATGCATGATTCTTTGCACAAATTCACAGTTGGTAGCACATTGGTAAATGTTGGCAAAAATGTGCTATAAGGGTTTTAAAATAGGGAACGATGAGCACATATTTTACCCATTCTGAAGTGCGTGGAATCTCTTCCATGCAATATAGGCTCAGTGTTGCTGGCTCCTGACTTTCCCTAACTTGTTGGGTGGACAAGTTGTATGGGGGAAATGAGAAGGAAGACAGGAAAGATGGTAGAATTAGAACACGTGTTCAACACTCAACAGTTGCTGGCTGTATGCACAATATGAGCCAGTCTGGGTCCTTACATCATCTTTGGCAAACCATCGTCCCTTTCTTCATCCAGCTCCTTGTGGCTTTCTGGCTGACAGATGTAAAAATAGAGGCTACAATAGAGCCAGCAATTTTGTATCAGCAGGATCACTCACACATGCCTCACACTGGCAGCAGGTTTTAATTTTAAAATCAGAATGAAGGTTTCTGTGCTCAAGACTTTAGGGCCACTAGGCCAAAAAAAATAAAAAAGAGAGAGAGAGAGAGAGAGGCCCAAACTCCTTTGGTGGGACGATAGGTGAAGGGAGGACCTAGCCCTGAGCTGAGAAAGGATGTAGGAATAAAGCCAGGTACTGAGAAACCAAGTAGCTTATTACAGACAGAAGAATCCACTGTAAAAGACAGTTAGGAGACTGTGTGTCTCTTAGTCTCCTAACCTGGAAAGCTGTCAGAATGACTGGGACAGGGTTTTGCAGGCAGCTTTCAAGATGGGATGGAGAAAGCTACTGTGGTTGGGTGAAAGCATCCATATTTTTCCCCAAAAGGGTTCAAAATGGCTTCTGTTTTCATTTGCAGGCCAAGTAAAATGTTGCAGGCTTCATGAAGTCATTTTTCATTGTTAACTAATATTCATTAACTTATTAAACATGTGGATGCATATGATACTGTCACAAGAAGAGCTAGGCAGCCCTCAGGGAATATATAAAAGCAAACAGAGGGGAAGCCTCTTCATGCAGCTCATGGTGATGCCAGATCTTCCTCCTTTCCCCAATGAAGGCTTCCAAATGCATCTATTTAGAACAGCTATTTTAGCTTTTACTGGATTAGCCACAAGAATAGTGAATACAAAGAGGAGAGGAAGAAGGGGAAGGAAGGGAGGACCTTTGGACCCCCAGACAAGTCATGGGACACCGGAGGGTGTCACACTGGACACCCATTCTCTCCCTGCTAAAGGGACCACCCACCTGCTGCTGGAAATTGCTCAGCTTCTGTTTTTCTTCTGTCCTGAAGTTTTTCAAAATTTTGAGAAAAGACGACAAGGCTGGAGGTTTGCACATAGCCTGCTGGAGCCCCTTCTGGTGGCCTGGTAGTGTGGCCTGCTCTGTGACTACACCTCTCCACTCCTCTCCTCCCTCCCAGTCCTACACATAACCTATTTAAAGAACCACATTAAGTGGTAGTAAAAGGAATATGATAAGACAGAAATGGAAGAAAAAATGTGTCATCAGACACCGTAGTGATTGTGCAAGAGCAGGACTCAGAAAGGAACATCACACCAACTTTAGGGGAAGGTTTCAATTCAGATAAAACTCTGTGGTCAGGGAGAAAATGACTCTAGTTTAATTTCTGGGATATAGATTTCATGAAGACTTCCAAAGAAATAGGACAACACCTGAAGCATGTTCGAGGAAAAGATTGTGATTCGATTTTCGTCTTCTCTGCGAGGAAGCTCATTATGGGCAGATGATACAGTGTTGTCCAATTTTCACTGAGGTGTACAAAAATAATATCTCACATCTAACTCCCAGGAATATGCATAAGGTAAGGTCGGAAGCTATATCCAATGCATACAAATAGGAAAAACATGTCAACTTTGTGAGGTCTCCTTCTCAAAGAGAAGTAGGTAATGGAGTACAAATATCAATTAATGCTCAGTAGAGTCTGCACATTTGCTGGTAACGCAGCTATGTTTTAGCAAATAATTGTCTCTCTTTTGTTTCTTGATTGTTAGCAGGGGGAACTGGGGAGATAAACGTGTTGCAAAGGTCTGTGCTGCATCATTGTGGGAAGGATGTTCAGTTCATCTAAGAGAAAGTAAAAAATTAGCCAAACCCTGCTCACCAGATATCAGAGCTGCAGGAACATGATTTCCTTCTTTAGATTCTGTGCTGAGTTCTGCTGGCACCCTGCATTAATATGAAATTAACAACACACTACTCACACGGAACTTTACATCTAAAAAAAGCTCACATTATGCTTTAAGCCTTTTATTATAAAATAGTGGAAGTCATGAGGTTAAATTTGTTCATACAGTTTTCTCTGGATCAGCTGTACAATTAATTTTATATAGGGGATGAAAGTATATTCCATGTGGATCTTTGTCAGTTGAGAAAGCAGTAAAATAACTAGTGGTGAAGCCTGCCTTCCCCATCCCACCCCAAGCACATATATATGATTTCCTACTTGCAAGCACTCCAGATATTATTTTTTTGCAAATATGAAATACCCCTGGTGTTCACATTCATTGTCATTGTTAATATTTGCTATGTGTCAACAGTGTGACTCATCCCAACTAAAAGCCTCTAGGAGAATAGAGGACGATGGCTGAGAAAGAAATTCCATTCAATAAATTACCATTGAGCATTTACTATCATTGGCACTGTAAGGCCAGAGTCCCTAAAGAGTGCACGATCTAGTATACTGTGTAAGGCAGATGTACAGATAACTATAAATCAGGGCAGAATAGGGTAAATGTCTTACAAGAAATTATTAAAATGTGGTGCCGTGGGTGGATCACCATTTGGAAAGGCTCAGCAAAGGTTTTGTAGAGAAGATGATAAAGGGGAAAAGGATATGTAAACCAGATGTGGGCTGGGCTCTCCCTGCCGTTAAGACCTAGGTAACACTGGCCTGAATCCCCACTCCAGGTCCTCTGGAAAATCCAGCGCCTTCCTCACCAGGCTCTGTCCCTGCTTCTTTCCCCATTCATTTATTCCCTTTACTGAAACCCTGCCTCTTTTCTTAGTTTCCACCAAAAATCACTTGCACAAAGGCTTTCTGAGATGCAGTGATTACTGCAGGTGCTGGGGATATAAACGTACAGCCTAGTAATGTGCACATCTAAAAATGGCACATTAGGCATAGCTGCTTTGAAAAATCCTTTGGCTGCCCCATCTCATTGCTCACTCATCCTACCTTTGCTGCCTCTCTTCGTCTTCTCTTTTGGGGGGAGAGGGCAGCAAACAAAAAAAGAAAAAGAAAAGGAAAAAACAGAAAAGAAAGGAAAATAAATCCAATCTCATTCGTTTAATTAAACACATAAATTCATCATATTTTTTATTCTGCATTCTTCCTTTAGACTGGATTGGGGCCTACTTTTTTCAACCAAATGACTCATGGATGTCATTAATAACATTTATTAAATAAAGATTTTTTTGCCCCCTCTAAGATGAATCCTGGTTGATATTCTTTTATTTTAATTTGCTACAATGAAAACTTGGCAAAGCAGTGCTGGAGGATAAGGACATTTCATAGAGCCATAAATGACAAGATCTAGAAAAAATGTTAGAGATTTTTCAAATACTAGTCTTTCATTTTACAAATTAAAAAATGAGGCTCAGGCCGGGCGCGGTGGCTCACACTTGTAATCCCAGCACTTTGGGAGGCTGAGGTGGGCAGATCACGAGGTCAGGAGCTCGAGACCAGCCTGGCCAGCATGGTGAAACCCCGTCTCTACTGAAAATACAAAAAGTTAGCCAGGCATGGTGACACGCACCTGTAATCCCAGCTACTGGGGAGGCTGAGGCAGGAGAATTGCTTGAACCCGGGAGGCAGAGGTTGCAGTGAGCTGAGATCACACCACTGCACTCCAGCCTAGGCGACAGAGTGAGACTCCGTCTCAAAAAAAAAAAAAAAAAAAAAAAAAGAGGCTCAGACCTGCCAGTGCACATGTAATTGAGACAGTGGAAGAACTCTGCCAGTAGAGTGCTTTCTTCCCTGATGATGGGAATGTCACAAGGAAGGTAGTGACATTAAAAAAGAAGACATTGATGGTAGCAGATGTTGTTAGAAGTGGCATAGGGGAGCAAAGGTGTGCAAGCAAAGGAAGCATCTTCACCCCCTTGGAAGTGGCCTCATAAGCACCTGTCCCACCCCACTGGGCAATAGGAACAACCTAGACTTTTCAGATAACAATATCTCAGTCTCTTTCAATTAAGTTGCTTGCAGTTTAAACATTGCAAATTACAATTTTAATTCCCTATCAGTGTGGACTGACAGTCTCTACAGGTAAACACTCTGTCATGTGGAAGGCATACCATATTTTCATGACAGAAGAGAGAAGGGCCCTCTGCACCATTGATTGAGCTCTTTTGGAGCATGGGAGAACTGGGCTTCTCTGCACACTGATGACCACGAAGATGCAGCTTGTTCAGTCTGGCCTTTGAGGGATGACGTGCTGCTACCCACTCTTGGAGCATGTGACCTTGGCCATTTGTCCTGGGTCTTGAAATCTCTAGTCATCATGCCCCTTTGTCCCAAACCTAGGCCACTGAGGCTTTAGGGACATCCAGATAATGTGGAGAACACAAAAGTCCTGGAGACCAGGAGCCTATCTCCTTGGGGTAGAGTGCCATGGTGACTGCAGGTCTTTAAGAGAACTCCAGCCATGCACTCAGTGGCCCACCACTTTAGAAAGCAGTGATAGCTTGCAGAGGGTGAGAGAAGGTGGCAGAAGTGCTGCTGGCTCCACCCCAAGTCTTGCCATCCTCCTGGCGATTCAGTGTTTGTTGGGGTGATTGATCTAGCACCTAACCCCTTTTTCAAAAAGTTAAACTTTTAATTTTGAGACAATTACAGATTCACATGCAGTTGTAAGAAATAATACAGACAGATCCCATGTACTCTTTACTCAGTTCTCTCAATGATAACGTCTTATGAAATAATAGTATGCTAACTACCAACCAGGATATTAACATTGACATAATCATGACACAGAATATTTCCATCACCACAAAAATTCTTCATGTTGGCTTTTTCAAAGTCACACCAGCTTCTCTCCAGCCTCAGCCCCCTCCCTGTCCCTACAACCACTAATCAGTTCTCATTTCTATGATTTTGTCATTTTTGAATATGGTTTATAAATGGAATCATTGTATGTAACCCTTTGGGATTGGCTTTTTAAATTCAGCATAATTCTTTGGACACTCATCCAGGATGTTGCCTATGTCAATAGTTTGTCCTTTTTACTGTTGAATAGTATTCCATGGTATGGATATACCAGTTTGTTTAATCATTCACCTGCTGAAGGACATGCAGATTTGTTTGCAGTTTGGGGCTATTGCAAATAAAGTTACTATTATAAACATTTGTGTGCAAGTTTTTGTCTGAACATAAATCTACATTTCTCCAGGATGAATGCTCGAGAATGTAACATCTGGGTCATAAAGTAGTTGCATATTTAGTTTTTTAAGCAACTGCAAACTTTTCTAGAGTGGCTGTACCATTTGGGGTTATATTCTCACCAGCAATGTACAAGTGATCCAATTTGTCTACATCCTCCCTAGCATTTGGTGTTGTCGTTGTTTTTATTTGAGTCATTCTAATAGGTGTAAAGAGTTATCTTGTGATTTTATAATTCGCATTTTCCTAATGGCAAATGATGTTGAACATGTGTTCATGTGGTTATTTGCCATCTATATATCCTGGTTGGTGAAATGCCTCTTCATGCCTTTTGTCCATTTTCTTTTCTTTTTTTTTTTTTTTTTTGAGACGCTGTCTCACCGTGTCGCCCAGACTGGAGTGTAATGGCGCCATCTCAGCTCACTGCAACCTCCACCTTCTGGGTTCAAATGATTCTCCTGTCTCAGCCTCTTGAGTAGCTGGGATTACAGGCACCCACCACCACATCCAGCTAATTTTTGTATTTTTAGTAGAGACAGTGTTTCACTCCAACTCTTGACCTTGTGACCCGCCCACCTCGGCCTCCCAAAGTGCTGGGATTACAGGCGTGAGCCTCCACGCCCGGCCTGTTCATTTTCTAATTGGATTGTTGCCTTTGTTGTATATGTGGTTTGCAAATATTTTCTTGCAGTTTGTAGCTTGTCTTTTCATTCTTTTCATCCCGTGTCTCTCACAGAGAAAAAATTTTTAATTTTGATGAAGTCTAGTTCACCAATTTTTCCTTTTATGAATTGTACTTTCAGTGTCAAGTCTAGGAGTTGTTTACCTGGCCCTAGATTCCAGAGAGAGGCTCCTATTTTTTTTCCTATAAGGTGTTTAGCTTTTTGTTTTATATTTAATTCTGTGACACATTGTAAGTTCATTATTGTATAAGGTTGAGGTTCAATATTTTTGTTGATAAATGTCCAGTTCCCTAGCACTAATTGTGGAAAAAGCTATCTTCTCTCCATTGAATCACTTTTGCACCATTGTAAAAACTAACCGAGCATATTTGTGTGGGTCTGTTTCTGGGTTCTATGCCTGTTAATATGATGGATTATAATGATAGATTTTCAAATATTGAACCCCTTGCATCCTTGGCCTAAACCCCACTTAGTCATGGTGTATACTTCTTTGTATATTTGCTGAATTCTGTTTGTAATATTTTGTTAAAGATTTTTGCACCCTATATTTATGAGACTCTTGATCTGAAGTTTTTTTATTTGATACTGCCTTTGTATGCATTGGTATAAGGATAATACTAGCTTCATAAAATGAATTGAGAAGTGATTTCTCCTCTTTTATTTTCTGTAAGAGATTGCAAAATTGGTACTTATTGTCCAAACGTTTGGTAGAATTTTCCGGTAAAATCATTTAAGCCAGGAGACTTCTTTGGGGGGAATTATTAACTTACAAATTCAATTTTCTTAATGATGATAGGGCCATTCCAATTATTTATTTTGTATTGGGTCAGGCGTGGCAGCTTCTTATTTTTGAAGAATCGATCTATTTTATCTGCACTGTCAGCTGTACATGCTTAAGGTTTTGTATAGTGTTCCCTTATTATCTTTTAGTGTCTTTAGGGTCTGTAGTGTTATCTTCTTTCATTCCTGGTATTGGTCATTTGTATCTTCTCTCCTTTTTCTTTGTCAAGATTATTAGAAGAACGTATTGATGTTTTTGAAGGCAGCTCTTTGTATTATTGATTTTCCCTCTTGTTTTCCTGTTTTCTATTTCATTGATTTGTCTTTTTATTTTCATTATTTCCTTCCTTCTGTTTGCTTTGAATTTGCTTTGCTCTTCCTTTTCTACATGCTTGAGGTGAAATGTTAGATCGTTGATGTTGTTCTTCTCCCTTTTTCTAATGTGCATTTGGTGCTATAAATGTCCCTGTCAGCATTGCTTTAGCATCATCCTACAATTTTGCTATGTTTTATCTTCATTCAGTTCAATGCGTCAATTTCTTTTGAGATTTTGTTTGACCATTGAGTTATTTAGAACTGCAGTGTTTAGTTTCTGAGTGTTTGGAGATTTTTCGATTTTCTTTCTGTTTACTGGTTTTTAGTTTGATCCCATTGTAGTTCAAGAACTCTGTATGATTTCGACTCTTTAAAATTGTTGAGGTTCATTTCATGGCCCGGGATATGTTGCTGTTGGCACATGTTCTAAGGACACTTAAATAATGTATTCTGCTCTTGTATAAATACCAATTTGATTTTATGGATTGATGGGTTTGTTGGATTCTTCTATATCCTTGCTGATTTTCTGCCTAATTATTCTATCAATTGTTGAGAAAGGAGTTTAAAGTCACTAAATATAATCATGTATATGTCTATTTATCCTTTCATTTATTCTTATTATTGTTTTTTGAGACGGAGTCTTGGTCTGTTGCCCAGGCTGGAGTGCAGTGGTGTGATCTCAGCTCACTGCAACCTCTGCCTCCCAGGTTCAAGCCATTCTCCTGCTTCAACCTTCCAAGTAGCCGGGATTATAGGCGTGCACCACCACACCTGGCTAATTTTTGTATTTTTAGTAGAGATGGGGCTTCACCATGTTGGTCAGGCTGATCTGGAACTCCTGACCTCAAGTGACCCACTTGCCTTGGCCTCCCAAAGTGCTGGGATTACAGGAGTGAGCCACCGTGCCTGGCCTATCCTTTCATTGAAATCAATTTTTGCTACACATATTTTGCAGATCTGTTGTTCGGTATGTAGATATTTACGATTGCCATATAACATCCTTCTCTGTCTTGGGTAATTTTCTTTATTCTGAAGTCCATATTGTCTGATGTTAATATAGCCATTTCTCATTTCTTTTGATTAATGTTCCTATGATATATCTTTTTCCATCCTTTTAGTTTCAACCTGCCTGTATAGTTATATTTGAAGTGAGTTTTTTATAGACAGCATATAGTTGGATCATGTTTTTTAATCCAGCCTCTCAACGTCTATTTTGACCATTTACATTTAATGTATTATTAATATTTTAGGGCTTAAGTCTTTTTTTGTCTACGTGTTCTCTCTGCATTATGTCCTGTTTTCTTCCTTCCTGTCGGTTACTTAACATTGTTTCAGAATTCTGAAAAATAAACTATTTATTTATAGTGTTTTTGAGACTATCTCTTTGTATAGCCTTTTTAGTGGTTGTTCTAAGTATTACACTATGTTTACATAACTTATCACAGTCTACTGATGCAATTGTTTTACCAGTTTAAGTGAACTGTAAATCTCCCTTTATGTCTCTTTACCCAGCTCTTTAAAAAATTATCTTTAGTTATTTCCTGTACATATATTTAGAACCATATCAGACAATGTTATCATTTTTGCTTCTATGGTAAAACATAATTTAGAAAACTCAAGAGGAGAAAGAAAGTCTATTATATTTACCCATATTTTTGCTTACCAGGTTGTTTCTTCCTTCTGATGTTTAAAAGGCTTCCTTTAGCCATTCTTTTTGGTAGGTCTGCTGGTAACAGATTCTCTTAGTCTTCTTTCATCTGAGAATGTCTCGATTTTGCTTTTATGCCTGAAGGATATTTCTCCTAGTTATAGAATTCTAAGTTGATAATTTTTTTTTTCTTTCAGCACTTAAAAAATGTTGTGCTACATAGTTTCTGATGAGAAATCCACTGTAATTGAAATTGGTTTTTCCCTAAAGGTAAGGTGTCATTTCTCTTTGCTGCTTTCAAGACTTTTTTCTTTGTCTTCAGTTTTCAGAAACTTGCCTGTCATGTGCTTTGCAGAGGGGTTTTATGCTTGGGATTTTCTCACCTTTCTGAATCTATAGGTTTGTGTCTTTCCCCAAATTTGGGAACTTTTCAGCCATTATTTCTGAGTACTTTTTTCAGCCCTGTCTCCTTTCTCCTCTCTTCTCCCTACCAAAACATTCTGATGATATGAATGTTAGACCTTTTGTTATTGTCCCACAGGTGCCTAAGGCTCTGTTCATTATTTTCAGTGTATTTTCTTTCTGTTGTTTAGATCGGTAATTTCTAGTCATCTTCCATTTACTGATTCTTTCCTCCTGTACTTTCTACTTTCCTGTTCAGCTCATCCACTGAGCTTTTTATTTCAATTGTTGTATCCTCCTGTTCTGGAAATTTTATTTGATTCTTCCTATATATTCTTTTTCTTTGCTGAGATTTTCTATTTTTTCATTTTTAAGTGTTTTTATAATTGCTCATTGGAGCATTTTTACAATGCTTTAAAATCTTTGTCAAATAATTCTAACATATCTGTCTTATACCTGTTGCCATCTCTTGATTGTCTTATTTCATTAACTTTGAGGTTTATATTCACCTGGAACCTTAAAATGTGACCTTATTTGGAAATAGGGTCTTTGCAGGTATAATTAGTTACATTTATATTAGTAGGCTCTCTAAATCCAATGACTAATGTCCTTATAAGAAGAAGACACACAGATACACACGGGGGAAGAAAGGCATGTAATGATGGAAGCAGAGATTGGAGTGATGCAGCTACAGGCCAAGGAATGCCAAGGATCAAAAAGCCACCAGAAGCTAGGAAAAGACATGGAAGGATTCTTCCCTAGAGACTTCACAGGGAGCATGGCTCTGCTGACACCTTTATTTCTGACTCCTTATTTATTACTTTAACTTTGTTTCTTAAATGTATTTTAAAGTTTTTCCCAGCTTTATTGAGATATAATTGATAAAGAAAAATTGTACATACAGCCATGTGCTATATATACAATGTTTTTGTCAATGATGGACTGCATATTCAACAGTGGTCCCATAAGATTATAATGGAGCTGAAAAATTCCTATCACCTAGTAATGTTGTAGCTGTCATAACATTGTAGCACAAAGCATTACTCACATGTTGGTGGCAATGCTGGTGCACACAAACCTATTGTGATGCCAGTTGTATAAAAGTATATCACATATAATACAGTGATATTTTGCTACAAATACTTAAATATAAGGTTGACTATAGTTAACAATAAGTGTGTTATATAGTCAACCTTCTGTTTTAGCTGGCTTCCTATGACACTGCTTCTACAGAACATGGGGTTTGGAGTGCTGCCTCATGACTGCCAGGGGAGGGTTGAAGTTCAAGTTCTCCACTTGGCCTCCTTTGACAATCCAGTGGGGATACTCTTAAGTACTCCTAGACTTCCTCTCACACCATCCCAATGGGGAGAGGGAGGGAGGCCTTGTCACTGCAGCCACGAAATCTCAGTCCATACTCCCTATGTAGTCTCAACCCATATCCTGGGGGATGGAGAGCACAGGAGGACTAGTTACCACCCACAAGGGCGAAAGTCCCAGGACTCAACTGTCTTCTCTGACACTACCCTAGCAAAAAGGTGGAATGCTTCATTATAGCCTGGTAAGTGTGGAAATACAGGCTCTCCACATGGCCTTTGCTGGTCATGGTGGACCACAGTTATTTTGTGGTGTTTGGCTGTAGTCAACTGGTTATGGTGTAAAAGTCTTCTGTCTTGCTAAACTGTCTCTTTCCTGGTCCTTTGGCTAAAGAGAGCAGATTTTATGGGTGCTTTTGTTTTGTTTTGTTTTGTTTTTTGTCTATGCCCATTACTGTTTTGACTGGCTTCTTCCACTCCAAGTCTGCCATATGTGAGACAAAAAGAAAATCCAGGGAATTCACTACCATTTCATTTCTCCAGTCTCAAGATGCCTATCTGGTCAGCTTTCTGTTTTCTCATTTCAGTCTTTAATATATAGATATAGATATAGATATAGATAGATAGATATAGATATGATGTATATATAGATATATATGGTGTATATATATGTATGATATATATATGGTTTTTTAGTTGTACTTTGGAAGAGGACTAGGGAAAATTATGTCTACTCCATCTTACTGGAAGTAGAAACACTCTGAGCACCTAACTTAAATTATTTGACCTCCTCAACTATACTTTCAACTTTACTTTCACTCCATTTTAGCCACCCATGATCAAAGCCCACCCAGAACTGTAGTACCTTAAAAATCTTAAATTCAAACATCACTCAATTATTCATCTTTTTGCTTCTAGCTCTCTGCCTGTTTTATACTCAATATACTTGTTTTTCTGCCTTATGAAGATGTCCAGTGTCTTGACTTTACTGCTTTATTATCTGTGAGCCTTTGCCCATATTCACTTCCATCCCTATCTAATTAGACCTCATGGACTTTCATTTGGACAACTCTCTTTGCCACAGTCTTCAACTTTTTTCACCTTGTTCTTCTTTCTCAATCATAGCAAAATTCAAACTTTGTAACAATCTAATTATCTGCCTTCTTTTCATATTCACTTGAGTAGGAAAGAGAAAATTGTACAGACAAGGGAATCGAAGCATTGAAATTCCTTGGGGTACAAATTCAACTTGCTTCCACACTGATGGCCATTTCTACTGTGTTTATGGTCAGCTCTCTCTCTCTCCCACACCTCATAGCAGTTACTCAAGCCACCTCCTTCCATCCCCTATTCTAACATCTCCCTACCTACCTCACTCTTGCCTGCTATCTCATGGAGAAAATGGAATCCATTGGGTAGAATTATCTCCACACCTACATACATCTGCACCAATCTGATATGCTTTGAATATGTGTCCTCACCCAAATCTCATGTTCAATTGTAATCCCCAACATTGGAAGTGGGGCCTGGTGGGAGGTGATTGGGTCATAGGTGTGGTTTCTCATGAATGGTTTAGCTCTGCCCTCTTGGTGCTATATTCATGATGGTGAGTGAGTTCCTATGAGATCTGGTTGTTTAAAGTGGGTGGCACCTCCCTCCCTGCCTTGCTCCTTCCCTGGCCATGTGAAGTGCTGCTCCCCCTTTGTCTTCTGCCATGATTGTAAGTTTCCTGAGGCCTTCCCAGCAGCCAAGCAGATGCCGGCATCATGCTTTCTGTACATCCTGCAGATCCATGAGCCAATTAAACCTCTTTTCTTTATAAATTACCAAGTCTTGGGTATTTCTTTGTAGCAATGCAAGAATGGGCTCATATAGAAAATTAATACTGAGGAGTGAGGCATTGCTATAAAGATACCTGAAAATGTGAAAGCAGCTTTGGAATTGGCTAACAGACAGAGGTTGGAAGAGTGTGGAGGGCTCAGAAGAAGACAGGAAGATGAGGGAAAATTTGGAACTTCCTAGAGACTGGTTGAATGGTTGTGACCAAAATGCTGATAGTGATATGGACAGTGAAGGCCAGGCTGATGAGGTCTCAAATGGAAATGAGGAATTTATTGGCAACTGGTCACTTTTGTTAGGACTTAGCAAAGAACTTGGCTGAATTGTGTCCCTGCCCTAGGGATCTGTGGATCTTTGAACTTGAGAGTGATGAGTTAGCGTATCTGGCAGAAAGAAATTCTAAAGCAGCAAAGCCTTCAACATGTGACCTGGCCACTTCTAACAACCTACTTATGTGTGTGAGCAAAGAAATGACATAAAGTTGGAACTTATATTTAAAAGGGAAGCAGAAAGTGAAAGTTTGGAAAAATTTGCAACTTCCCATGTGGTAGAAAAGAAAAGCCCGTTTTCAGGGGAGGAATTCAAGCAGGCTGCAGAAATTTGCATAAGTAAAAAGGAGCCATGTGCTAATAACCAAAACAATGGGGAAAAGGCCTTGAAGGGATTTCAGAGACCTTTGTGGCAGCCCCTCCCATCACAGGCCCTGAGGCCTAGGAGGGAAGAATGGTTTCATGGGCCAAGCCCAGGGCCCTGATTCCCTGCACAGCCTTAGGACACTGGTCCCTGCATCCCAGCCACTCCAGCTTCAGCCTTGGCTCAAAGGGTCCCAGGTACAGTTTAGGTTGCTGCTTCAGAGAGTACAAGCTGTAAGACTTGGTGGCTTCTACATGGTGTTAGGCCTTCCAGTGCACAGAATGCAAGAGTTGAGGCTTGAGAGCTTCCACCTAAGATTCAGAGGATGTATGGAAAAGCCTGGATTTCCAGGCAGAAGCCTGCTGTGGGAGCAGAGCCCTCATGGAGAACCTCTACTAGGACAGCATGGAGGGGAAATGCAAGGTTGGAGCCCCCACACAGAGTTCTCACTGGGGCACTGCTTAGTGGAGCAGTGAGAAGAGAACCACCATTCTAGACCCCAGAATGGTAGATCTACCATTCACAGCTTGCACCCTTCACCTGGAAAAGTCACAGGCACTCAATGATTCAGCCCCAGAGGCTGAATTCTACAAAGCCACAGAGGTGGACCTGCCCAAGGCCTTGGAAGCCCACCCCTCACACCATGTGTGAGGACATAAACTCAAATAAGATTTTTTTGGAGCTTTAAGATTTAATGACTGTCCTGCTGGGTTTTGGACTTGCATCAGGCCTGTAGCCACTTTTTTGGATCAATTTCTCTCTTTTGGAATGAGAATATTTACCAAATATTTACCCCCATTGTATTTTGGAAGTAAATAACTTAGTTTTAATTTTACAGGCTCATCTGTGGAAGAGACTTCCCTTGTCTCAGATCAGACTTTCAACTTGGACTTTTGAGTTAATGCTGGAATGAGTTAAGACTTTGGAGGACTATTGGGAAGTCATGATTGTATTTTGCAATATGAGAAGATCATGAGATTTGGGAGGGGCCAGGATGGAATGATATGGTTTTGATCTGTGTCCCCACCCAAATCTCATGTTTAATTTTAATCCCCAATATGGAAAGTGGGGCCTGGTGGGAAGTGATTGGATCATTGGGATTTTTCTCATGAATGGTTTAGCACCATCCCTTCAGTGCTGTTCTCATGATAATGAGTGAATTCTCACAAGATCTGGTTGTTTAAAAATGTGTGGCACATCCTTACTGTCTCTCTTTTGCTCCTTCTCTGTCCATGTGAAGTGCTGCTCCCCCTTTGCCTTCTACCATGATTGTAAGTTTCCTGAGGCCTCCCCAGAAGCTGAGAAGATACCAGCATTCATGCTTCCTGTACAGCCTGTGGAACTGTGAGCCAATTAAAACTCTTTTCTTTATAAATTACCCAGTTTGAGGGGTTTCTTTATAAAAACATGAGAATAGACCAATACAGCATCCTTACTTTCCTCTCATGATGAAGGATGAAGCCCCTCCTTCTAAAGGCAGTCAGTGCACCTGAGCTATGTAGCCCATCACAGCCTGTACACTTAGGAACCTGACTTCTCAATTGTCTCTCTTCTAATTCTTCTTCAACACCATTCCTCCCAAAAATCTTGTCTCCCATCATAGCTCCCCACAAAAAATCCCACTTGCCTCCCTTCTCATCACCTCTCCACCTTTTCCTTACTTTACAGCCAGGATTCTCAAATGTGCCTTCTATACTTGCTGTCTGTACTTCATGACATCTCGTTCCCTTTTTAACAACTGCAGTTTCCTTTCTGCCCTCACAACATTTAAACTATTCTTGCCAGGATCTCCAGAGACATTTATCACCAAAGCCAGCAGATACCTTTCAACTTGATCTCACTTGACATCTGTATAGAATTTGCACAAATTGAACATTATCTTCTTTTTGAAAACATTCCCACCCACTAGCCTTTTCTGCTTTCCCTAAACCTCTCTGGCTGCTTTCTTTGGTCTCTATCAGGTCCCCCTTCTTTAACAGTGTTCCTTATTTTAGGTCTACTTTTCTTTTTGCACACTAAACCTCAACACTCATCCAACCCTTGACTCCTCACTCATCTATTTCCTGTATTGAATAAATTATCATATCTTTCATTCCACTTCCATTGTGTCTCAATCAGCTTGGGCTGCCACAACAAAATACCACAGACTGGGTGGCTTAAACAACAGACATTTATTTTCTCATCATTGTGGTGGCTGGGAGTCCAAGAGGAAGGTGCAAGCCAATTTACTTCCTGGGGAGGGCTCTCTTCCTGGCTTGTAGAGGGCCACCTTCTTGCTGTGTTCTCACATGGCAGGAGGGGAAACAGAATGAGAAAGAGAAAGAGAGCACTCTGGTGTCTCTTCTTAAGAGGGCACTAATTCCATCATGAATGTCTAACACTCACGACCTCATTAAAATCTAATTATCTCCAAAGGCCCCATTCCAAATACACTGGGGCTTAGGCCTTCAACATATGAATTTGGGGGTGGGGAAACAATTCAATCTATAATGCATTGCTGTAAAATTATTCTGCCTTTTCCATCTCTTCTTCCATTTTTTCTTACCTGGATTACTTTAATACTTTCCCTACTGGGCTTCTTGCCTATATTATACCTCTCAAAGCCATTTTCCATACTGCAACTAGACTGATACACCTAAGATACTAGGCCTTATCATTCCCTTGTAAAAGATGCTTCAGTAGTTTCTCATTGACTTTAAGTCAATTGAATAATATATATTCTGACTGACTGGATTAAGTCTACATGCCTTAATATAGCATGGAAATCCCTTCATGTTTGGGCTCCTGCTTGTCTGTAGCTCAATCTCTTTTCCCTCCCCCTTGCACTCAGTGATGCTTCCATAGAACAGTACTTAGGGTTTGCTGAACACATACTTCCTAAATTTTCCTCACTTTCAGGACTCAACTTTGCTGTCATCTCCCTTAACAAGCCCTCCATGAGCTTTTACAGATGGATCAGGTGCCTTTTCTAAGTCTCTCCACAGCTCACTGTGTTTATCTTTTTCTTTTCTTTTCTTTTCTTTTTTTTTTGTGAGACAAGGTCTTGCTCTGTTGCCCAAGCTGGAGCGCAGTGGTGAGATCTCGGCTCACTGCTACTTCCACTTCCCGGATTCAAGCGGTTTCTCCTGCCTCAGCCACCCAAGTAGCTATGACTAAAGGCATGCACCACTATGCCCAACTAATTTTTAAATTTTTTTAGAGACAAGGGCTTGCTATGTAGCCCAGGCAGGTCTCAAACTCCTGGCCTGAAGCCATCTTCCCACCTTGGCCTCCCAAAGTGCTGAGGTTACAGGCATAAGCCACCGCACCTGTCCTTCTTCATCTTTCTAAATGTGCTCTCACACTTCTCCAGAGTTGGAGTACCAGGAGGAAGATGAGGAAAGGGAAGTAGGACAGTTCTTACCTGCCTGGTACTCGTCTATAGCATCAGAGTTCTCTTACTTTGACAGGTATTCAAGTTGTCTCTCTTGTTGGTGTTGTATGAGTTCTTTGGAGACACCTCAGGGTAGAACCTCTTTCATTTGCATTTTTTTCATTAAAATTAGAATTTCAGTGTAGAGTCACCTGCTTTTTCCGACGGAGGGATGAATACATGTGAACGTGGCTGATCATTTACTCTTTCCTCAGCCTCCAGGAATCTGGTACCACCTCTAGCTTCTCCCTGTTGAGTTCTGTTCACCATATTCAGGTGGTCCATGTCTGATCCAAGGGAATCACTCTCCCTCTCTTTGCCCCTACTAGACTAAGGAAGGTGAGTGGGGGAAAATACCCAGCACACAGACTACTTCTGTCCAGAACAATCATCTCCTCTAATCTCTAGTTCCCATTTATTAATGTACTTTTTATTTACAAATAAATCCACCATGTAACATAAAGCCATGTAATCAGTTTTTGACAACCTCCTTGGCAAATTTTGCAGAGTCAGATTCTCATACCTCACTTTAAAATGTGATCTCTGTGCCTTTGTGCTTTACCTGAAACTTTCATTCTTTTGTAGTTTTACCTGCTTTGTGATGCTAGAATGACCAATTTATTTTTTTTAATGGGCCAAGCACTGTTTTATTTTATTATTTTTTAACTTTTATTTTAGGTTTGGGGGTACATGTGAAGGTTTGTTACATAGGTAAACACGTGCCTTGGGGGTTTGCTGTATAGATTATTTCATCCCCCAGGTATTGAGCCCAGTGCTCAATAGTTATCTTTTCTGCTCCTCTCCCTTCTCCCACCCTCCACCCTCAAGTAGGTCCCAGAGTCTGTTGTTTCCTTCTTTGTGTTCATTAGTTTTAATCATTTAGCTCCCACTTATAAGTGAGAATATGCTGTATTTGGTTTTCTGTTCCTGCATTAGTTTGCTAAGGATGATAACCTCCAGTTCCATCCATGTTCCCGCAAAAGACATGATCTTGTTCTTTTTTATGGCTGCGTAGTATTCCATGGTGTATATGTACCACATTTTCTTTGTCCAATCTGTCATTGATGGGCATTTAGGTTGACTCCATATCTTTACTATTGTGAACAGTGCTGCAATAAACATTTGTGTGCATGTGTCTTTATGGTAGAATGATTTCTATTCCTCTGGGAATATACCCAGTAATGGAATCGCTGGGTCAAATGGTAGTTCTGCTTTTAGCTCTTTGAGGAATTGCCATACTGCTTTCCACAATGGTTGAATTAATTTACACTCCCACCAACAGTGTGTAAGTATTCCCTTTTCTCTGCAATCTTGTCAGCATCCGTTATTTTCTGACTTGTTAACAACAGCCATTCTGACTGGTGTGAGATGGTATCTCATTGCAGTTTTGATTCGCATTTCTCTAATGACTAATGATGTTGACCAATTTCTAATCATACCTTTGGTACACACTTACCTCCTCATTGTGACGAGTAGCCTTTGCCTTCCCTACTTTCATCATTTACAGAAAAGCTAGTATTAAGTCTTTGTATAATTGACTTACTTATTTCACAATATGGAGATTGAGAGTTGTATTGGTTTCCTAGGGCTGCCATAGCACAACATCACAGATAGGGTGGCTTAGGACACAGAAATTTATTCTCTCAAGCTCTGGAGGCTGGAAGTCAAAAATCAAGGTTTTGGCAGGGCCACACTCCCTTTGAAGGCTGTGAGGTAGAATCTATTCCAAGCTGTCTTTGCCAGGCAGGGATGCTATAACAGAATCCATAGACTGGGTGCCTTGAACAGTGAATATTTACTTCTCACAGTTTCTGGAGGCTGGGAAGTCCAAGATCAAAGTGCTGGCAGATCTGGTGTCTGGTGAGGGCCCTTTTCCTAGTTCGCAGATGGCTGTCTTCTCCTTGCTCCTCAGATGGCCAAGAAAAAAATGCCTCTGTCTTTATGTGCCCGTCTTCTCCCTATGTGTATCTGTGTCTCCACATGGCCTTCTTGTAAGGACATCAGCTACTGGATTTAGGACTCACCTTAATTTGGTATGACATCATTTTAACTTGATTACATCTGCAAAGAGCTTATTTCCAAATAGGGTCATATTCACAAATTCTAGGTGGGCAAGAATTTTTGGCAAAGGAATGTGGGTGCATGCTATTCAGTCTAGTACAGATATGGTAATATTTTCTTTAGAAATGTTCACTCTCATTGCAAATGTGATGTTGCATGTCTTTTTAAAAATAATGTTTTAAAAGATAGATGGATTATATTAATTTTAGAAAGGCCTGTGGAAATGGGTAACTCTGGGTTTCACCAGAGTGCACTGCATAGCAATAGCATATCCATGGAAAAATATGACAAAGGAAGCATACAAACAGCTTAATAAGCATGAGTATGTATCGTATGAGAAAATCAAAGCAAGCTAATAATAGCTACCCTAAAGATGAGCAAGTGGATGCTTTTTCCACAGCTGAATCCTCAGAGGGATGATGTAGTATTTGTTGATTTTACCACGTGACTTGTGAAAACAAAAGAGACACAAAGAAGACAAATGACATCGTAATCGTGAGTGGTTTGACTGTAACTACACACACTAATGTTGTAATAGCACTAGTAGTGATGTGATGTTCTATATAATTATCAGGTTTTAAGCTTCTGCAACATTTTTGCAATTTTTCCTGAGAGCATTTCCCCCGTATTGGGCTTCCCTTTTTCCCAAAGTTTGAATGGTTGGATAAATGGAAGGAAGCTTGTTCAAATTATGCCATAAAAGCAGACATAAAACTGAAAGCAACTAAAGGAGTACTTTCATGATATCCCTCAAAATTGGTGTTTTTACTCAAACTTCTAATACAGTTTCTTCATGATTTATCAATTAAAGTCCATTCTGAGTAAATTTGGTCCTTAAGAAAAGCGCAATGAAACTGAGCCATGAATGACTAACGAAAATTTATATTTCCTATCTTCCTAGAACCTTTGACTTTGCTCAGCCAAGAGTGCCTTTTGGAAAATGTGTATGTGTGTGTGTGTGTTTGTGTGTGTATATATCTGTGTATCTCTATATATATATCTCCATATCTGCTAATTCAATGAGATTGTCATGCAACTTTAGAAGTTGAAGTGACTTCCTTAAATAATGTGTATTTCTCATTCAAATGATATTAGATATACTTTTATTACTATCTTTTACCTCTATTTTGCATATTACTTGGCAAACACCACCCTGTGCATACCTTTGTATGGGGAAATTCAGTTAATGGATACTTATCCATTCTTTTTAGGCAAATGATTTATGCTAGATTGAAATTTTCCTTTGAGTAATTGTTTTCTTTATACCTTACTGTGTTGCTGAGTCTTGTTGCAATGTGTGTTGTATTTTCTTTTGTAAGACATTTGGATTCTTGTGAAAAGCGTTATGTATGTAAATAATGGAAACAACTCCCACACCATTACTTAGCTACTGCGGGTGCTGCCACACTTCCTTTCTTTCTGTTTTCTTTCTTCTTCTCCCCTCACCCCTTTATTTGTAATCACCATGAGAATAGTTTTCAGGAATAAAAATGATGCAACCATTTTAAAGAAATCATGCCCTATTGTTCATTAATGGAGAGTAATGTTCGTTTAAAAATCGGCCTCCATCACTGACAGCCAACCTGATTGTTTTGAACTTCATGCCATTTCATGCTGGCTTAAAACACAGTAGCAGATGTGATATACTTCGTATAATGTACCACCATAAATCGAGCATGGCAGGAGGTACAACACCAGCAGTCAAAGTAAAGTGGTTGTGTGATAACCAGAGAAATTATTGAGCTTCTGTATAGATTGGCCTTGTGTTTATAAAGTAAGTCAGGGAACAAAGAAGTTTTTCTCCACCTTGGAAAAAGGGCCAAAAAGACAAGCTATGCAAAACCATTGAGCCTGTTTACACCAAGTCATCTAGGACTTTTAGAATATCTTTTACCTAAAGAGCTACAAGAGTAGTCTTTGGAATTTCAAGGCCCACACAGAAACAGGCCCATGGAGTCATGGATGTTAATAGAGAGAAGGGACTGTGGCCTCCTCCTGTTTTGTAGGAGACATTTAGGTACAGAACAGGCTAGGACCACATCAACATGGGCCAGTGGGAAGGGGGAAGCAGCCAAGACCCAGCGGGACAGAAGCTAGCCAATCCCCAAAGGACAGCCAGGGAGGCTGTGTGCGGCTGTCAAAGGGTGTGACTAGCTCAGAGGCCCAGGCTGTGCGGATATCAGAGTCAGTCTTATCTGCCAGCAGAGCACAGTTCTGGAAGAAATCCAGGTGACAATACTCAAAATCCAGCACGGTTCCAGGTGGTCAGTCTAGTCACAGTGGGCTCCAAGCCAGAAGATGCCACCAGAGTAGGAAATCACATCCTGCTTCCCAAAGGAAGGTGGGGAGCCAGAGTCTGGCAGAGAATCAGGACCCAGGCGTAGGTGGCTGGGATTCAGTACAAGGATCCAACCTCTGCGAGAACTGAAACACTCAGCAGAGAAACCGAGGCAGATTGGGAGTCACAGGGCTTTGGCCAAAGTGGTAAGAGAACATTGAGACTTGGAGTCTGAACGGAGCAACCAGATTTCCAGGTCTCTAGGCAACCAAACCAGTTTCATCTATTAATAGGTCTAAGGCTGATGACACTGATCAGGACTGGCTCAGACTGGTTGGGAGCAACTAAGGGCTTCTCAAGCTGTAATGTGCATAGGAAGTAGTTGGGGATCTTGTTAAAATGCAGAATCTGATTGAGTAGGTCTGAGTTGGGGACTGAGATTCTGAATTTCTCACCAGATCCCAGGTGATGCTGCTGCAGCTGGTTTTCTTGAGTGGCACAACCCAGAGAATCAAAGCTTGCTGTGGGTCCTTCCCTTGGCCCCACCCCATTGCTCTCCACCCCTTTCTCCTGTCCGCATTGTCAATGTCTGACCATCTTCTTCTACTTTCCTTTTCTTTCTCCTCCTCCAACCCCTCTGTCCTACTGCATTTCTTCTGCCAAGATCACCACAAGAAAAAGAGCTTATGTTCAGAGAAGAGAGGGGGCCAGACAACAAAAACCAAAACTATTTTCCCCATTGTCAGCACATGGTGAAATCTTTTTATGTTTGATAGATGCAGTTAGTCCAGATTCATGTCTTTTAACTACTGTTGCATAAAGAATGTGATGAACATGTGACTTCTTACCTTTCTCTCTGGATATACTCCAACAGGGAAGAAATATCTACTGAAGATCAAAAAGTCAGAAAGGTGTCACATTATTTATTTAACGTCCCTTGTCCCTGAAAATATATCCGTATGCAGTACACACTCTATTTGTTTCCCTTTCAGCACCTAAGGGGTCACTAGTCCCTGGCTTGTACTAAAAACTGATCATGTGATGTGGGCCTAGGTACTTACCCTTTTTCAGACAATTTTCTAATCTGCAAAATGGTAATATTAACATCATCCCAGTTTACCTCAGAGGCTTTGTTGTTGAAATTGTATAATTCATGAAACTGTTTAATATCAAACACTATACAAATGCAAAGTGCTATTACCAGTAGGTATTTGAAACTGAACAGTTGTAGATTTTAAAATGTTGTGCCATCCTGTGTTAGCATATTTCTTCAGATTGGACAACCTGAAGCCATTTGTGCTCTACAGATGAAGGGACTGGGGAAGCATAATTTAAATCCCTCCCTGGCTAGGTGCAGTGGCTCATGCCTGTAATCCCAGCACTTTGGGGTGCCAAGGCAGGAGGACTGCTTGAGGCCAGGAGTTTGAGACCAGCCTGGGCAACAGAGCAAGGCCCACTTTAAAAACTTGGCCAGGTGGCCGGGCGCAGTGGCTCATGCCTACAATCCCAGCACTTTGGGAGGCTGAGGCAGGCGGATCACTTGAGGTCAGGAGTTCGAAACCAGCCTGGCCAACATGGTGAAACCCCGTCTCTACTAAAAATACAAAACAATTAGCCAGGTGTGGTGGCTCACGCCTGTCATCCCAGCTACTTGGGAGGCTGAGGCAAGAGAACTGCTTGAACAGGCGAGGTGGAGGTTGCAGTGAGCCAAAATCGCGCCACTGCACTCCAGCCTAGGTGATAGAGAAAGACTCTGTCAGAAAAAAGAAAGAAAGAAAGAAAGAAAATTAGCCAGGTATGGTGGTGTGCACCTATAGTTTTAGCTATAGCTGAGGCAGGAGGATCACTAGTTGCAGGCTGTAGTGAGTTTTGATCATACCACTGCACTCCAGCTTGAGCAAGAGAGCTAGATCCTGTCTCTAAAACAAACAAACAAATAAATAAATAAATACAAAATAAATCCTTCCCCCACCCCAGGTCCCATCTCACTTCACGCATCACCCTGATTTTCATGCATCCAAGGAATATATTATCAAGGGCCAATATATCCTGGTGCTTGGAATTACTACAGTGAAACAGACTGACCTTGTGTTCATGGAGTTTACAGATTAGTGGAGTATTCGTAGACAAGAAAATAGTAACTTCGGCATAGGCTGATGAATGCTGTGGCGGGGTAAATACAGGGTGCCATGGGGCTCTCGTGTGGTCCCCTTCAGGTTTGGATGCTCATTGATGGGTTCTTTGACTGTGAATGGCTACGATGATGACACAGTGAAGAACAGGGAGGATGGTTGGAGATTGGACAAGGGAAAGGGGAGGGGGTTCTAGGCAGAGGGAAGCACACTGGTTCCATCCCAGGGGCAAGAAAAAGCAATGAAACTACTTTTTTTTATTTTGAATCCCTAGATCACTTCGAAAATCTGCTTCCTGTCATTGCCTGGGACAGGCTAGGCATGAGCTCAGCATGGCAGACATTGCAATCAGTTCTAAGATGATCTCCTTCCCTGCCTCAAGCTCCCTGTCCCCTCCTCTGCGCTGGCCTTTCCCCCTCATTTCCTGGCCTGTTCTGTTGCAGAGCTGGCACTCTGAAGAGATGGAAAGAGGCTTTCCTCTTTTGAAGCAGCAACATTATTAACAGAGAAGGAAAAGTCTCCCATGAGCTATGGCAAAATCCTGTAGATTGGTTTATGAATCAATGTAGCTTAGGCTAAAGCAACCTAATTTCCTGAAAGCCACTCTATGGCTTTAGGCTTCCAGAGGGGCATAAAGCTTGTATGATATTTACTTTTAGTTAAAATTAAGTGGAAATGGAGAAAATCTAAAGAGGAATTCTTTTGAGAGGGCATATCATTAATTAAAAAAAAATTAAAGGCTACAAAGCAATATGGCCAGATTATATTGCATTAAAGAAGTTCTGGGAGTATATATACATCAAGGTGTTCAATTTATAACTATCTCCAAATAATTGGGTTTCATGTGATTTTTAACACCCTTTTTACTGTGAAATATAACATACATTCGGGAAAGTGCATGATATAGAAAAGTACAACTCAATACCATTTTATAAAGTAAACATTCACATAACCATGACTCAAGTCAAGAAATAGAACAGAGCTGGGCATGATGGCGCATGCCTGTAATCGCAACACTTTGGGAGGTCAAAGCAGGAGAATTGCTTGAGCCCAGGAGTTGGAGACCAGCCTGAGCAACATAGCAAGACCTCTGCTTCTACGAAAAATTTAAAAATTAGCTGGACATGGTGGCATGCGCCTATATAGTCCCAGCTACTTGGGAGGTAGAGGCAGGAGGATCACTTGAGCATAGGAAGTTGAGGCTGCAGTGAGCCGTGATCACACCATTGCACTCCAGCCTGGGCGACAGAGCAAGACCTTGCTTTTATTGTTTCAACACCTAAGTGTATAGGGCTGAATACTATATATTTTTTCTACTCTTTGAACTTTAAGTACGTATATGGAAGCATATGATTTTTTGCCTCTCACCATTTTTTGTTTTTTGTTCTTTTTTTGAGATAGAGTTTTGCTCTTGTCATCCAGGCTGGAGTTCAAAGGCGCGATCTCGATTCACTGCAACTTCCGCCTCCCAGGTTCAAGTGATTCTCCTGCCTCAGCCTCCAGAGTAGCTGGGATTACGGGCACCCACCACCACGCTCGGCTAATTTTTGTATTTTTGGCAGAGATGGGGTTTCAACATGTTGGCCAGGCTGGCCTCGAACTCCTGACCTCAGGAGATCCTCCTGCCTCAGTTTCCTAAAGTGCAGGGATTACAGGCATGAGCCACCATGTCTGGCCCATTTAATTTTTAAGTTGCATCCATGTTGTGAGAGTACTGTGGTTCATTTGTTTTCAGTGCTGTATAGTATTCCAAGTTTGGATATATGACATTTTATTTATCTTCTCTACTGTTGATATTTTGACTTGTTTTCAGTTTAGGGTTGTTATGAATAGAGTTGCTGTTCTTCTGGTTCTCATGTGTACATATTTCTCTTGGATATTACCCAGGGGTGGAAATCCAGATCACTGAATATGCGTGTCTTCAACTTCAGTAGATAATGCCAAACAGTTAACCAAGAAGAATAATTGCAATGAGCATTCCCTGGATCCAGGCATGAGAGTTTCCACTGCCCTACCATGGGGTTTGGTGTCATTTTTTTTTCCTGAACTTGTCTTAATTTTCGGTTTTTCTCAATATCTATTAGTTTAGTTATGCAAAAGTGCTGTATATTTTTTTGAGAAAGTCTTGCTCTGTCACCCAGGCTGGAGTACAGTGGTGCAATCTCTGCTCACCGCAACCTCCACTTCCCAGGTTCAAGCGATTCTCCTGCCTCAGCCTCCCAAGAAGCTGGATGACAGGCACCCGCCACCATGCCCCGCTAATTTTTGTATTTTTAATAGAGACAGGGTTTCACCATGTTGGCCAGGCTGGTCTCAAACTCCTGATCTCGAGTGATCTGTCCGTCTCAGCCTCCCAAAGTACTGGGATTATAGGCATGAGCCACCGCGCCCAGCCCTATTCTAATGTTTTAGAATAGCATTATTCTAAATGCATTGTCACAAAGTGAACACACCTCTGTGACCACCACCCAGGTTAAGATAGAACTTTCTAGCACCCTAGAAGCCATCATCATGTCCCATTCTAATCCTAATCCTCTCTCTTCATCAAAGGTAAACAAGTATAATTAGTGTAACATGATTGATTAGTTTTTCATATTTTTAAATTTTGTACAAATGGAACAGTATAGCAAGCCTTCTTTTATGTCTTGCCTCTTTTGTATTTTCCAACATTGTGAGATTACTTTGCATTGTTGTACGGAGAGGAATTTTTTCATTTGTTTCTTTTCTCACCACAAGGAGGAAATTTTGGCCTCAGGGTGCTGACCTGCTCAACACTTCTTCAATTCATGGATGTTACTAACCAGTGCTATACAAGGATGAGAACACTGTAGAGCCATTTGTACTACAGTGGTTTTCTGCTGTGTGAGTACTATGTGCTGGGGTTGGACAGGCTGCAGGAAGAGTGGGTGCAATACCTCCAAGCCACCCCTTGGCTTTCATAATGGCAACTCCATTTGAAATGGTCTCTCAGTGATATGGGATGCTTTCTTTCTTTTCTTATCCACCTAAAATGCAAAACTGCATTACATCCTCAGGCCGCATGCTTTTATGTAAAGCAGAGCTGTCAGTGGATTTTACTGAAAAGTTGATTTATTTCTGAAGCTCATGGGAGTCTAAGGATAAGACTGGCATCTGGCCACAGGGAGGGAGCCTTTGACCTAGAAGCTGAGACAGCTTCAAAGCTGTGCTGGCACGTCAGGGAACACGGCACTTGTAGTAAAAATCCTGGCCTCAAAACTTTCTAGGGGAAAAATCCTAAAGCTGTCTTCCAAAAGGAAAGGTAAAATCAATAGCTTATGTTTTTTACTCTTTCAAATAAACAATGTTTAACTGTTCTACACAAAACAATTGTTTAAATCTAGCGTTTGTTTTTATGTCAACAGAGTTTGAACTCTCAAAATGGAATCTTGATATCAATCTATTTTTTAAATCAGCCCTCATTTGGCAACTCTCTGAAAAGCTGTGTGAATGTGTAGTAAACGTAATTTTTTTTTCCTGAGGCCTTGAGCTGTAATTATTAAAGCTTCAAATGCCCCCAGTGATCTTAGCTAGATAATCAAATTTGGATCATAGGAATGAAATAACCTAAAGTGTGCCTTCATTACTGCTCTACTGAAAATAATTCACTTAAGATAATTCTTACCCTCCTCCACCCCCATTCCATTACTAGATCATGGAGATAGACAGTGAATTTCTTTTTAAAAATTTTTTGTATTATACTTTAAGTTTTAGGGTACATGTGCAGGTTTGTTACATATGTATACATGTGCCATGTTGGTGTGCTGCACCCATTACCTCATCATTTAACATTAGGTATATCTCCTAATGCTATCCCTCCCCGCTCCCCCTACCCCACAACAGGCCCCGGTGTGTGATGTTCCCCTTCCTGTGTCCATGTGTTCTCATTGTTCAATTCCCACCTATGAGTGAGAACATGGGGTGTTTGGTTTTTTGTTCTTGCGATAGTTTGCTGAGAATGATGGTTTCCAGCTTCATCCATGTCCCTACGAAGGACATGAACTCATCAGTTTTTATGGCTGCATAGTATCCCATGGTGTATATGTGCCACATTTTGATGCAAAAATCCTCAATAAAATACTGGCAAACCAAATCCAGCAGCACATCAAAAAGCTTATCCACCATGATCAAGTAGACAGTGAATTCCTAAGAATATTCAAAATGATCAAATTAATTCTCAAAACAAAGAATTCCATGTGTATATCTAACAAGTATAATTTTTTACCGCCACAAAAATAGGATAAGGCGAGGTGTAATGGTTCAGGCCTGTAATCCCAACACTTAGGGAAGCCAAGGCAGGGGGACTGCTTGAGCCCAGGAGTTTGAGACCTACCTGGGCAACAATAGTGAGACCCCCATCTCTGCAAAAAAGAAAAAAAATTAGCGGGGTGTGATGGTGCACGCCTGTAGTCCCAGCTACTTGAGAGGCTGAGGCAGGAAGTTTGCTTGAGTCCAGGAGGTTGAGGCTGTAGTGAGCCATGCTCATGCCCCTGCACTCCAGCCTGGGGGACAGAGTGAGACACTGTCTCAAAAAGAACAACAACAAAAAAAATAGCATAAAATGTTGCTGAAATTATGTGCAAAACAACAAAGCAAAATGCTGACTAAAATTGCAAAATTTAAGACCTTACTGCCAAACCAGCTATTGAGGAGCTTACCGATTAACTTTCTAGAAAACAGGAAAGAACACTTTTTAAAATAGCTGATTGAGAAGAGTTTTTATTAATGAACTACATATGTATCCACTGGAAAAGTTATCTATGAATATATATGTTATTTTGAACAAGAATATATTTAGTCTGGTAGAAACTTAAACTATGTGAAATCAAGATTTCATCAAATTGAGCAGTGCTAAAGTGTTTTTGTTATCCTTTCTTTTACTAAAAAGATAAAAATCCCCTTTCCTCCCACTTACCTCTCTCTCCAAAAGAGGCTGGAAGAAGTTCCTAGACCAGGAAGGCACTGGGTAGGAAGTAATTGTGTAAGTCTCCCTGTCTCCTCTGCCAGTGCTTTTTAATCCTTATCTACCAATCTTCCCTGCTATTTCATGAAAAGAGGATCCCAGCTGTGCCAAATAGTGTGGTAGCTATATAATCTAGAAACAATCCACAGGGGGTTAGGACAGAAATTAACAAATCTATTTTAGCTTGAAATCTTACTTGTAAAGAATATCAACCAGTTTCCCAAACATCTACAGACCAGACAGAAATGCCATCATCTCACTTTATAAGAACCCAAGTGTGCGGGCTGCCATGATCAAAATCTTCTAGAATTGGATTTTGCTCATCACAGCAGTGTCCACCTTCTATGAGGACTAGAGGAGAACAAACACAGGACTGGGAGGGAGATGTCTTAGGTTCCAGTACTGAATTTGCCACAGACTAGTTGTATGATCTTTGCCAATTTCCTGCAACTCTTTGGCCCAGATTCCTGTCTATAAAATGAAAAAAAAATAATTGAACTAGATTCTGTAAGGATCTTTCCAGTTCTAATAAAATGGCATTATATAGCTATATTTTCACACTATAATTAATAGGCCACCCTCTCCTCATTATCCTGCATCCAGTTAGATTAATTGACACTTGTGGTTTTTTTTTGCAGATGCACTGAGAGATGGTGTTGGGGTTGGGAACCTAACTCATTCCTGGTACCAATCACTGGTCACTTCTCAGATGTGGAGTCAACTGAATGTGCTTTTGTGTCCTACCTCTTTAGGTTCTTGTAGAGCAACCTCATACCAAAAGTATGAGGAAGACTAGGTGAAGAGATCTGGGCTGCCATGTGTGTTTGTGATGTTCCCTGGAGGACTCAGGATTCATAAATCAATGGACCTCACTCTCTTTAATCTTTGGGAGTTATATGCATAGTGTCAACATTTAATAATTATAACTAGGGCTCGGGGGGCAATTTGAGATAGTATGTTGCAAAACATCACCAATGAGACCTGACATGTGAGAGAATTTTCCTGCACTAAGAATGACAGCAGATGCCACATTGAGGAGCTGCAAACTGGGAGCAAATCCACTCCATCCTACTATGAGCCCTTCCTGTTTTGTCAGCTAGCATGGTTTCCTAAATCTCAAATTGCAGCAGAACTGTTCTGCAATTCCATGGCTAGCTATTTCGGGAGCCTAACACAGCAGGACAAATGTGCACAAGTCCACACAGTATGACAGAAGAATTAAAAATGTATTTACCATCTGTTGGTAGTTTCCTTGCGGGTCTCTTTTCTTTTCCTCTCCTGCAGCCACAAATAGGGTCTTCTCACTTCCTTCCAACTTCAGAGAGCTGGGTTCTCTTCACATCTCTGCAAATGCAGGGCTTGGTTTTTTTTTTTTTTTTTTTTCTCTTCCTTTTTTCTTCTTCAAATTTCCCAGACTGTTGAACTCTGGTCTATTTCAGCTTCTAGAATCATTTCCCTCAAATACAAAGTGGAGTGAGGCTGTGAAGAGGTTACAGTGTTTTGCACATCTTGTGTGGCCAGGCTACTTTCAGACACTATGCTTCGATTCTGGTCACAGAGGACTCTGGGAAGCTTGCGGGTAGAACAGGAGAAGTTCAGCCCAGAGTAACTGAAGGAAATTAAGTCATTAAATTAGCCTTGAGAATTCATGTTGGCCCTTTACGATCTCCTTCGTCCTTACTGTAATGGGATACTTTAGACAGGACTTTAATAGGAAAGGGTTCTAGGGATTCAAGCATGAACCTCAAGTGAGAATCATTTCCAGCCCATGTAGCAGCATGAGTAAAAATTATAAGCTGGAATAGAGTTCTGTTAGTTGGGAAACCACTTAGGTTGATCTGAAGCCAATTCGCTTATGGAGAAATACTCAGTTCTCAATGAGCATCACTAGCTTTAATTTCTGGGATACAGGTGTTATTCACAATTCATGTATAATCCAAAAACTAGAGATTGGATTAAAAATGGTCCCTTAGCCAAAACATTGCAATGCAGTGTTATGACTGTAACTGTCCTATTTCATTCAGGTAATGACTTGTTAACAATTCTCAAGCTGCATAGGTGGATAACTTCACTTTGAAACCAGTGCTGGGTGACCCTGAACTTTGGGCAGGTCCTTTAAACTCCAAGCCTCAGTTTAATCACCTAATAAGTGAGAATCATGATCTCTATCTCACAGTATCATCATGGGGATGAAATGAAATGACATCTGCAAAGCCTGAGTGTGAGACTCAGTTCATTCCAACTCAGCTTTAATAGTCATGTCAGACACTAAGGCAAAGGTCAAGTAAAGAGAACATATATTATACCATAGTGTGGACCAGATGGATTAGTTTTGGATTAGCTCCTAATGAGATAATCATTGTGTTGGGGGCTGACAGAACTTTGCACATAGTAGGTTCTGGAAAACATTACTGATTAATTCATTTAATAGTCAATGCCTATTTAGTGGGTGTCTATCATGTGCCAAGAACTATTCTAGATGAATGAGCCAGACAAAAAAAAAAAAAAATCTCTGCCCTCCTGACAATAAACAAACAAACAAAGTAGATGACATAGAATGTTATAAAGCAACACATTTATGGGATAAATGAGCAGGGCAAGGTGGATCGGGAAAGTGAGGGAGTAGAATTTTTAGTAGGGTGTTCACAGCAGGCCTCACTAGGAGGTTGATTCTTAGAAAAAATAACCTGAAGAAGATGAAGGAGTGGGCCATGCGAACACAAGAGGGAAAAGCATTCCAAGCCGAGGGAACAGCTAATACAAAGGCCCTGAGGCAAGAGAGCAGCTGGCTTATTTGAGGACCAGCAAAGAGGACAGTGAGGCTGGCAGTGTGGGAGCAAGGACAGGGATAGATGAGATCAGAAAAGTTGAGGACCTGATCGAGGCCAGCCTTGTAGGCCATGAAGGGCTTTTACTTGACCTTGGGGGAGCCCTTGGTCTCTGAGCAGAGCTGTGGCATCAACCTAATGCAGGCAGTAGACTGGTGTGGGCCGGTAACTGGAGAAGTAAGGGCCAATTTAGGAGGCTGTCGCAGTAACCCTGACGAAGGACGGTGGTGGTTTAACTCCAGTGGTAGCAGTCCCAGGGCTGAAAAATGGTCAGATTCTGGATATGTTTTGAAGGTAGATTTAACTGGATTTTTGGCAAATTGGATGTGGGGTCTGACGAGAGAGTCAAGACACTGCCAGCGGTTCTGGGCTTGAACAGGTGGAAAGATGGAGTTGCCATTTTCTGAGATTTGCATGTAAGAACTGCTTTATCCATCTCAAGAGGACTTCCTTTGTATTCTGGCTTCAGTGTGAGGCCTCCCCTTCCACTCGCTCAGGGAAACTTCCTGAAACAAATGAGCTTCTCGGTTTTTTTTGGTTTTTTGAAAAAGGAGAATCAGAAAGACCAAGGTCTTCATAAGCACTTTGATAACACTCAAATAGACAGTAAAAGAAAGCCAAACAATTAGCATTGTATTTCCTCAATATCAAATTAATTTAGTTTTTGCGGTCTCTTCTTCACCCCAACCCCACCCACATGCTGGAAGACTACTTCTGAAGAGGGAAGCTGCTGGTGCATCGGGCGCCCAGCAGAGGGAGCTGAGGAGGGCCGAGGAGGACGCCGACACCAGCTGACGCCCCGTGCAGGAGTGTAATGTACTTGTGCTCTCTGAGGCCTGGAGCCAGAAGCCAGATGTTTTTCTGGGATGACGAGGAGGCGGTTCTAGAACTCTGTAAGTTTTCTATTCCATTAGACCTTTTCTTTGTTTATTGGTATTGTCATAGGTGCAAGACCAAAAGTACATCCAGAACAGATTACCTAGGAGTATCTGCAGCAGGAAGAGGTAGGGCCATATACGTAAATAAAGAGAAGAAAGGAGAATCCAACAGACCTGGAATCATGGATCTCATAAGGAGGGTGCATTCGTCTCCTAGGATGGCTATAACAAAGTACCACAAACTGGGTGGCTTAAAACAACAGGTATCTATTCCCTCCCAGTTCTGGAAGTTAGAAGTCTGAAATCAAGGTGTCAACAGGGCCATCCTTTCTCTAAATGCTCTAGGAGAGGAGGCTTCCTTGCCTCTTCTAGCTTCTGGTGGTTGCTAGCAATCCCTGGCATTCCCTGGCTTGTGGCAGCATATCTCCAGTCTCTGCCTTGTCTTCACATGGTCATCTACCCTGTGTCTCCTCTGTTTCTGTGTCTTCTCTTCTTATGAGGACAACAGTTGCATTGGATTTAGGGTCCACCCTAAAACAGTAAAACCTCATCCTAACTAATTACATCTGCAAAAATGCTACTCCCAAATAAGGCTACACTCATAGTTACTGGGGTTAGGACTTCGATGTATCTTTTGGGGTCACAATTCAACTCATAACAGAGGGCAGTGGAAAGTTACATGAAAAACTGATCAGTGGAGGGGAGTCACATAATTGGAGCATAAACAAAGGAAGCGCAGTTGCACGCTGAAACTGTAAGGGAGGTCAAATGGGTTTGGGAGTAGCAGGAAGTATTCAAGTAAGAGAGCTCCCACTTAGGATACTCTCTCCATCTGTGCTTATGGCCCTGTTTTTTTCGGTTAGAGGTTTAAAAAAATATTGTATAAATAAAAAGAATAAGAAAATAGCACTTCTCTGACTCACACATTGGGCAGAGCCGCAGACTCCTGTGATAATCAAGAAAGACTTCACAGAAGTGTTGATGCTTGAGCCGGATCTCAAAAGCATGAGGATAAAATCTCCATGCAAAAAAAAAAAAAAAAAAAGGAGGGAGGAGAAGAAAGGGCTTTCCATATAGAAGGTATATGCACACGCATAATGTTATTTAAATGATATCTCCTTCACCTCTTTAGGTGGGGAGTAAAGTCTTTAAAAGGCAAGGCTCTTGTTGTCTATTTAACCTGTATTACTCAGACACAGTATTTAAACAATGAAGGGGCAAAAATGTTTCTGGTTTTAATAAATGCACAAATAAGCACATGATAACCTGGAAGAACACTAGGGGCATATATCAGGAGGAGTTAATTATTGGACACATTTGCCAAAGCACAAATATGGAAACCCCACCCTCAGCCAGATCTGGAGAAATCAAAGAGTTGAATGTGGTATAAATTCCTTTGCCCTGATTGCATAAGGAGATCTGCCAACATTTTTCCCTTTGATATATTCCTTTCTGTACAAAGGGTCGAACTGGGTTCTTAAAAACCCAATCATGAACTAAGATATGCAATTCTGAATCACCATTGCGATCTAGGAAAATTAACTCCTCGCTGATCTTCCCAGATAAGCACCCAAGCTTGTTGCCTCCAAGATCTGCATCAGGGTCTGGCTAGTTTCTGTCTTAGAGCAACTCCCCTTTTTTGGCATAAGAATGTACAGGATGCCAGCGAAGTTCACACTGGGTCGTCTAAGTCTCTTTAAAGGCCTGATGATTCATTGCTGGGGGTTGGGGTGAGAAGGTAGTGAGGGGAAAGGAAGTGCTAAGCCAAGGGGCGGAGCAATATAATTATGAAATTGACAGCAGGAAAAGCTAGCCCTGGGAGTGAAGGGTTCACGTGTTCTTACTCCTGGTACTCAAGCTACAACTTTTAAACTGGAATAGGTGTGGGGAGTTAGGAAACATATCCTGTAATTTGATTGGCTCTCAGAGGAAATGCATCCAGTGCCTCATATATTTGTAATAACTATGATGTATCGATTTTCTTAACCCATTTATGGTTGCAATTTTTTGAATTTTTGCAATCAGACCTTGGCGATGACCTCGAGCAGTAGGATATAAATAACTCCCACATGCTTAGCGTTCCGATAATGGAACACTAGGCATAAATATTAACATCTGACAAAGAAGAAAAGCTCTCTCATGACAGTGCAGTTAGCAGAATAAAAATTTGGCTGTAGTGGTATGAGTGAATAATTTGTCTTCTTCTACTTGATTTACTTGTATTCTAGCTGACAGGGTCTTCCATTCTGTGCATTCATTTTGTACTTAAAAAGGGATTGTTTGTAATGTACAGTTTAAGTCTGAGTGCTATTATTCTGCTCTGTCAGAAAGCATCTGTGGCAGTAGCCATCGTTTTATGCCTGTGTCTCAGACACAAAGCAAATCAGTATCTTCAGTCGCCAGTCTTGAGAGCTTCCCAGATCTCCTAGCAGTTAAACTTTGGAGAGGCCTGACAGAGAGGGGTTCTGCAAATATCAAACTGCCTGACAACCCTCACTGAAACCCTGACACAGGCCGTTCCCTTGGTGAATTCTAGTTATTTATGTCAAAAAGCAAAGTTTGCCAATGCATTTTTCTCTAACTCTCCCTCTTCGGGGGTAAACTTGGTAAATTCCTCATAAAATAATTTTCTTAACCTCTGACCCTCATTCAGATCAGCTTCTCCTGGCCAATATTGACTCAAGAAAAATAAAGTAACTAAGAGAGCTTATAGCCACATATTTTAATGTCATCAAGTTAGAACAACAAAGAACACTGCTTCACTCCTTCCATAAAAATTTGATGTTTATTTTTGCAGCCTGTTGTTGCCCATGATCTTATTCCGAAGGCACCCTCAGCTTAACAGGCACAAACCATCAGCTGCCACTACCTTCAGTTCAAAAAATGGTGGTTCTGGCTTTGATTTAAATTTGGAAAATGTATTTCTTTTGAGGAAACAAAATGCCAAGTTGTTAATGAAATGCTTTTAATAAATTTCCAAATGCTCCTGGCCAATACCAAACAAAGTTCAACTCATTCATTCTAAGCCTCAAAATGTTGTCTGTTTTCTTTCCATGTAAGAAGAGCTATGTTCTTTAGATGACTAAGACCATAAATTATGATACTTGCCTTATATTCAATCTTGGTCAGAGCTGCATTGATGAAAATTTATCTAGGTCTTGCTTGCAAAATAAACAATGATGGTTAAAAATAATCATTTCTTTTCAGAGTATCCTATGGTACTAAATATATTAGAAAGTTTTTTTTTAAACAGATTTCCTTTTGATGGCCTTGATGTTTTTTAGTTAAGCAACAAATTATATAATTTTCATTATCAATGTCCAAAGCCATCTGTCACTAGAAAGTATCGGCCCCAAACCATTTAGCCACAAGCAGCAAAACCAGCTGTAACTCTAGGATGCTTGTGCTTGTGCTTTCGAAAACAGAGCATAGGTTTTCCATCAGCCTCCCAGGGTGACAAGGTACCAGAGCTTGAGAAGACTGAGTCACAGATAAGCCTAACAAATTTTTGTTTTGCAGGCCTGTAACAGATCTACCAGTGAGATCACGCATTCACCGACAGTCTACTCTCAGTGATCATTATAACAGAGTAGGATAAGTTCTGTGTTACACAGTGTAAGGGGGGAACATGGGGAAGGCAGAAAAATAAGTTATTTACCACACCACTGCAGGGAGCCATGCTGGGAGTCTAAGATCTTAAACTGGGTTCTTAGAACCAATTCCTGTGCCTCCTCAGCCCCAATATCTGTATCAGTGTTGTTCATTAGAAATGAAATATATAACCCTTCCACACATGTGATATGAAACTTTATAGTAGCCACATTAAGAAAAGTAAAAAGAGGCTGGGCGTGGTGGTTCACATCTATAATCCCAGCACTTAGGGAGGCCAAGGCCCAGGAGTTCAATAGCAGCCTGGGTAACATGGTGAAACTCCGTCTCTGCAAAAGACACAAAAATTAGCTGGGTGTAGTGGCGCATGCCTGTGGTCCCAGCTACTCAGGGGCTGAGGTAGGAGGATCACTTGAGCCCAGGAGGTGGAGGTTGCAGTGAGCAGAGACTGCACTACTGCACTGCACTGCAGCCTGGGTGACAGACCTAGACCCTGTCTCAAAAAAAAAAGTAAAAAGAAACAGGTAAAATGAAGTTTAATAATATATTTTATTTAACCCAATGTACACTATTAAAAAATAACCCAATATTTTCAACATTTAATCAATGTAAAAATGGAGATATTACATGTGTGTATATATAATACATAAAATTAATAATATAGGAATAATGAATAATATATATTATATGTAAAATATGTATTTTTTATACCAAGTTTTTAAAATCTGAGGAATATTTCACACTTACAGCACATGTTAATTTGGACTAATCACACATTTCAAGTGCTCAGTAGACATAGTGGATAGTGAAGACCTAAAGTACCTTTTTTTCTTTGTTTTTAATTGTAGACAGAGTCTTATTTCAGAGGTGGGTACTATGAAATCACAGACTGTTGGCAGATGTTTGAGTACAATGACTTTAATTTCACTCTTGACTAATGCTAATGTCATTTTCATTCCCAGGAAGCCTGTCTTGCTACAGTTTGGTGGAGGGTCAAGAAAGATGATTCAGAAGTATGTCTTTTAAGAGTCTTGGTGACACGCACAGAGCCCAGTGACTTTAGTCTGGGTGTGGTGAGCTGACCTCAGAGTCTATTGTGTGAGTGTTTTTCACTTTTGAGTTTGTTTTACTTTTGTGGTCTCCCCAGCCTTATTTGTGAGTGCAATCTAAGGAAAGTATATTTGTTTTGCAAGCACACTATGGTTTGCTCAGATTTTTAAATGACATATGTAGGATTACACCCTCTTTATTCTGTCAGTGTTTCCATTAAAAATTCAAACTTTCTGGGATTTATTACACAGCCATAACAAATTGCTCCAGGCAGAAACTTGGCAAACCCTCTTTAGTGTGGGAGAAAAATTCTTTTCAGCATTTTAGAAAAGATAAAAATAAATAAATGTTTACCAACTCAACTTACTCATGTGATTTTGTGATAGGGAAGACATTCAAATAAAATACACATTATATCTTCACATTTGTTTGTCGTACAAATTTGAAATATTAATATTAGCTTATAAGTCAACTTTTGCTCAAGAGTTGTACAACTGTCCCCCCCGCCTCTCAAATTTTTAATGATTCTAATGTTTGATTCTCATATTTGGAAGTCTGATTGCTATGATTCTGGCAGGTGCTGGATCGCATCAACTATGAATCTTTGTGTTTCAACGTGGTAAAAATTAACAGTTTTCCAAAGGTAAGATCTGTTCTGCTCTGATCTCCTTGCACACTAAGATGTCTTACTCAATTTTATATTCTCAAGTCTTAGTTATTGTAGATGCAGAGTAAGTGACTGCTTGTAAATAAATAATAAATATATAAACATATTATCTAAGAATAACTTTGAAAAACCTTTAAAACTGTAAAAAATGCTCTGGATCTTTAGTCTGTATAATTTCCCTCATTTATGAATACCTCAAAGCACTACTGAAACAATTAAATGACTCAATGTTATGAAAGCACGATGTGGTTCCATAACTTTTTGGATACTTGGCTTTTACCAAGTATGTTATCTGCTTCAAGGGAGTTTTTGAGGATGCAATATGGAAGAGTAGTGAAAAGTATGAAATACTACGTAGGTATAACTGAAACCTAAATCCTCACCACTGCAAGCATTAAGGAGAAACCCCTAAAATTATTCTGAGTGTAAACACAGCAAAAGGCGCATGGACCTTAACCAACATGTATGACACCAAATGAAATTAAGTTACCTGATGTAGGGTCCAGTGAACTGACTCTGTTTTTAGATAAACAGGAGCTACTATTAGGGTTGCCTGATTCTGTGTTATCTTTGTTTTTGAGTAAAGCTAAGGCATCTTAGGGTTGCCTGATTCTGTGTTGTGTTATCTTTGTTTTTGAGCAAAGCTAAGGCATCTTTTTCACTTTTGAGGTCCACTTTCTTTTAAGAATTCAAGCCTAAAACTCTAAAGAAGTTTATCTTTATTTTATTCAACTTTCAATCTGTTCAGTTACATAGTTGTTATGACCTGGTAAGCCTATCTGTGTTTGCTCAGTTGATTTGCTTCATTTTGAACTACATAACAGGCTACTTCCAATGAAAACATATACTACAATGTAAAATCTGTCATGATTTGGAGAGACCTGTGCACTGGTTTTATTAAGCACTCTTGTGCTCCCTCTGCTGCCATGAAGAAAATGTTCATGTTCAAGACCCCAGTACATTCCTCAGCAGAGCATTCTTTTTTGGCAATAATGATGCAGATGTGTGCACTTACAGTGCAGTAGTATTTATCCAAAGCATATAACATAATAATTTTTCATTGAAAAGCACAAATTAATAAGGGCTGTACTTACTAAAAAGGAGCAAAAAAGAAATAAATAGAGGAATTAACTTCTGCACTTGTGCCCAAATTTATTTAGGTTGATCCCTGTGGTATAGACCAGTGTTCTTCACATGATAATGTGTTTAGAAATCACCCAGGGGCCTGGTTCAAAGGCAGATTCTGATTTGGTATGTCTGGGGTAGAACCCTTGACTCTGAATGTCTAAAAAGCTCCCAAGTGCTGCTGTGGCGACTTTGAAAACTACACTTTAAGTAAGGGTGTAATATGTAATTATATAATATATACTTGCTGGCCCATTTAACACCTTCAAGAGTAGATACCACCAAAACAGTAAAATAGATATGTGATTACAATTATTTTTCATGGTATTTAAGCAATCTATGACACAGGATACGAGTCAAGCTCATCAGGCCTTATTTATCGATTTCCTGTAATTTCAAAGGTTGACTTATGCTTTTACAAACATAACACCAGCCTTATGAGTAGGACTATAGTACTATATATTTGTCTACTAGCTTCTTGGAAGCTCTGCCCTTTTTCATTGAGTTTTTATTTGCACGAGAAAGTCTTGTTTCTAAAGAATCAGTGCCTGTTATTTGTGATTGTACACTTAATATTTTGCCATCTGAAAACAAAATATTTCAGTACTAAAGGTAATGAGACAGTTTCATGAGTATGGTGTTTATGTTGGATCTTGCAGGAAGAAATAGTTACAGATTTTGGTGGCAGTTTATGGCTTTAAACTTAATGGCTAAGAAAGTAAATGACACATTTCTTATTAATTGTTTTTACCATTTGGGTAATATACATATTTAGCTTCCTTGAGAGAACATTTAAATTAATTGACTAACTGTAATCTGAATTATGTGTTTTAATTTAAGGTTGTTAAAATCACGTAAATTAACTGCTTGTGCCAACGTAAAATTACAATATTAGCTTTTTTTTAACTGAAAATTATCTAAATGTAAGATGTCTAAAAATAGAGTGGAGGTGGATTGGACAGTTTGCAGATTATGAGTTGGAATAAAAACATCGCAGTTAAGCCAAAAACATGGCAACCAATATTTTCTGTTATAAAAATATTTGAGATGAATTTAGTTTTTATGAAAGCTGTCTGAAACTGAAATGAATAGCAGAAGCTTTCTGTTTATTCACAGTCCAGTAATAATAATACCTGCAGCACAAAGCATACGTCTTTTCTATATAAAGCCAACAAGCTTCTGCTCCTTTCTGAAGTCGTCTTTGCCAAGCAGGGTGTTGGGGGCGGGGGTGAGGATAGGGGTGAGGGGACATTTTACCCGGTTATGCTCTTACGTACTAACCTTCACCTTGACAAAGCTTGTCAACGAAAACAAAACCAGTCAGAGCCTTTTCAGGAAACTGATGTTAACTGTCCACTAGAGGCTGTAATGAGACCAACAATGTCACTTTAGACCAACCCGAGGTTTAAACCGTAACAATAATCGATTTTTAAATGGAAAAAAAAAAGTTGTAGAAATGAGTAAGAGTGAACACTAGTAGTTATACTTAAATAGCCACATATATGTGCATGGTATTTCAAAAATGTGAGAAAAAAATATTTCCGGGGCTCTGCACCTTCCTCGCTCGTATGTTTATTTTTATTTATGAAGCACGTAGGCTCTTGCAGGCCAGAGTTGTGTAAAAACTGACACTTTTTTTTTGGTCATCCTGTGCCCTGCCTCAGTTGGTGACTAACCGTTAGGTCATAAGTAAACTCAGCCAAAAGATCTCTCAAATACAGCTTACAGTCAAGATTGGTGGCTTTCAGAAAGAAACTTACGCGAAAGGATCATGTTTCCAGACACTTAGTTCTAAGCACCTGAAGAAGGTCAAATGTCGCCCGACACCTACCGGCCTTCCAGAATCATCTGCAACAAGAACGCCGCACTGAGCGCCCTTAGTCTGGAGGCGCCTCCTAGTCCTCCAGGTGCCACACCTGTTGGCAAGGTGCACCCATCCGAAGAAGATTCCTTCGCGTGGAGGTCACACCTGGCGGCGAGACAGGCGGAGGGGCGGGGTGGTGGGAGTCGGAGACCGCACTGAAACCCTGAGTCCAGATTTAAGTTCCTCGTCGATTCTCGAGAACTGCCATTTGATGCTCCGGTTGCTTTCTCTGTCTCCTACACTGGTTACCTCATTTCCGATTAAATTAATGATCCGAAATTAGCTGCGAGAGGAGTGCGCGGGTCTCCTTTCCAGGCTAGAGCGGAGTAGTTCCATATCAAAGCCGATTTCCGGACCTGCGTGCGAAGAGAGAAAGAGGGCAGGGTCGGGCGGTCGCCAGCGTTCGCCGGCAGGAAAGGTGAGGGTACCTGTGCAGTCGGGGGACCCCTTGAAACTTTCCGGAGTTGCACGCAGAGGCAATCCCCGCGGCCCCCAGGCCTGGGTTCCGGAACGCCGAAGCGACGCCGGTTTGTGGCTTAACGTGCAGCTGATGATCAGAGTGAGCCCTCTCAGATGCTGCTCCGAGCGCCTGGGACCAAGGACACGTCGGGATTAGAATGGGCCGACCTCCCCTCCCCGCTGGGGTGTTGCATCGGCTCCCAGCTGAAGCCTGACAGCCCTTGGGGGAGTCCCCCAGGTTGCCTGAGTAGCGCCCCGTTGTCGTTCAGTCCCCTCCAACTAGGTGCAGGGACCCAGGGAGGCGCGCGAGGACCGACCCGTCACCGCTCAAATTACCTCATCGCCCAGCTCCCCGCCCCCTTCCCAAACCTGGAAGGAACCTTGCCCTCCGGTCCGCGTCTCCCCTCCCCCGCACCCCATCCCGAGCCACTCTTTGGGAAAGGTGCCCGCCTCCCCGGGCGGCGCGCAGCGAAGGGTTAAGGGCGCGGGCCGGCCGCCGCGCGGTGCGCTCGCCGTGCTCTGTGCGGCTCGCCGGGCCGCCCGCCAGAGGGTGCCCCCCACCCCCATGAAGTCGGATCCTTGAGCTGCGGCGGCGGCAGCCAACTGCTCCATATTTGGCTTCTATTACACATTTACATACTGGAGCGAGCGAGCGAGCGAGCGCGAGAGAGCGCGAGGGAGGGAGGGAGGGCGGGCGGGCGGAGGGAGGAGGGAGGGGAGGGGAGCGGGAGGAGGGGGAGGAGGAGGAGGAGGAGGAGGAGGAGAGAGCAGAGTATACCGCAGACATCATTTCTACTACAGTGGCGGAGCCGTACAGGACCTGTTTCACTGCAGGGGGATCCAAAACAAGCCCCGTGGAGCAGCAGCCAGAGCAACAGCAGCCGCAAGACATTGTTTCTCTCCCTCTGCCCCCCCTTCCCCACGCAACCCCAGATCCATTTACACTTTACAGTAAGTGACTATTTTTTTTTCCTCCTCCGATTCTTTCCCCCCTCCCCCATTCCCTTCTCCCCTTATTTAGATTAAAATCCCTCCTCCCCCGATCTCCCGAGAGGGGCAAAAGCAACAACCAGCAAACAAACCCAAAACCCCAATCGGCTGCACGGAAAACAGCTGGAAGAGGAGCGAAGGAAATCGACGCGTCGTGTTCTGTGTGTGTGCGTGTGTGTGTGTGTGTGTGTGTATGTGTGTACATACAACCGTCCCCGGCTCCAGGCTCCCGGGCCGACACCCCCACTCTGGGCGCAGGGGCGGCCGGCGGGGGGGCTGTCAGGGGCTGGGTGGGCGCCCGCCGGGCTAGGGGGCGCGCCCGGGCGGGGGGCGCGGGCGGGGAGAGCGGCGGCGGCGCCCCGCTCCCCCGGCTGCTGGTCCGGTCGCAAGTGCGGAGAGCCATGTCCTCCTCCCTCCGGGTGGCGCAGGGGGGAGGCGGCGGCTGGGGTTGGGGGGTGGTCCCTTTCCCGGCCGCCCTCTTCCCATTCCTCCTCCCCGGAGAGGGCGGTGAGAGAGAGGGGGTCTCACGGAGGGCTGGACTTCTCCGCGGGTGGTCGCCCGGCCTCGGCGCCCTGGGGCGGGGGTCTCCCCTCGGAGGGCCGGCCTCGCCGGGTGTGCGGCTGCGGGCGGGGAAGGGACTGCTCCTGCAGCCGGGACGGGACTTTGCGCGCGGCCGGGTGCCGGGCGGGGGGCGCAGAGGGGTGGCCTCGGGGACCGCGCGGGGGTAGCGGGTGTGCGGGTGCCTGGAGCGCGGCTGGAGTGGCGGTGACGGCCCTGGCCGCCGCCGCCACCGCCGCCCTGTTGGTGCGGCCGCTTCCTGATCATGTGCAGCGGCAGCCGCCGCCCGGAGCCGGGAGCCCGCGAGCGCCCCAGTCCGGGCCGGCGCCCCCGCCAGCACCCGCGGCAGGAGACGAGGAGCCGCGGCAGGCGCTGCCCTGAGCCGGGAGTGAACGGCTGCGCGGCTGCTGGGAGGGTGAATGAAGCCAGGAGGAGGGGAAGGAGGAGGAGGCGGCGGCCGCCGCGGAGGAGGCGCTGCGGGGATTGGGATGCGCCCTGGAGCCCCACTGCTCGTTCACTCTGGGCCGGGCCGGAGACTCTGCCACTCCCGGGGGCGCCGCCGCCTCCTCCTACGTGGTTCCAGTGCTGCGCGCAGGCCGGTCCCGCAGGGGGCAGGGAAGGGGGCCGGACGGGCGGAGCGAGAGGTGAGGCGGTGTCGGAGCGCGGCGTGAGTGTGAGTGAGTGTGTGAGTGACTGTGTGTGTGTATTTGTGCGCGCGCGCGCCGGGCGGGGGGCGAGGGCCGTCGCGACGCGGAGGGGGCCCTTCCTTGGCTACTTGGCTGACTCTGCAGCGCCCCGACCCCTCTTCAGCCCCCCGCCTTCAGGCTGCCTTCTTAAACTCCGTGGCTTGTGCTTTCATTTTGTTTCAGACCACGTAGGGGGCTGACTGAAAGGGATGAAACAATTCAGGTTTTCTAGGGAGATTGAGCAAGAACCTTAGTGGGGGTGGAAGTAGGGTGGTGATCGAGACTCTGCCAGAAAACAAAACAAAACAAAAAAAAATCCGTTTCTAAGGACGGCGGGGATTCGGTTCGAGCCCGTGGCTGCTCTGTTTTGTTTTGCTTTCTTGGTATATAATCCTACAGATAAAAGGGTAATATAAATATTTGAGAAGAGGGAAATTGCTGAAGAGTAGTAAGGGCAAAAAAAAAAAAAAAAAAAAAAAAAAAACAGTCGGAAGAAGCTGGTTATATAATGCGCGATGTGGCTAACAAGAAAGGCAAGCTATTTTTATTTTGTTTACCGTATGCTGTGCAGTAGGGACTCCTCCAAACTGGTTCTGTCCCCGAAGAGATTCTTAGCTTCCCTGCGAGATCCACAGGATACAATTAGCAAAATTAGAAGACCCTATTACACCCACAGAATAAAAACTAATGCCTTACAGTGGCTTTCTCCCTGCACATCCTGTCGTGCATGCACGGGAATGTGTGTATGCAAATAAGTTCTCCTTTGGCAATCTAGTAGTCACATCTCAATGACATTTGTGTTTTATAATGCAGGCTGTTTTTAATATTTAAACATCATTGTTATATATTGCACACAGCAGTGGGTAGTTACTTGGTTATTTTTAGGCACAGCTAGTTACTTTTTCAACAGTGTTAGCTGAGACATTTCTGTTTGGGTTTTTTAGGAGGCTGCAGTTCCTAGAAGCCCCCCTTAAGCCCACCCTTCGGTTTATTTGATGGGTAAAGGTAGTTTGATACTTGAGCTTTTTTTGGAGTGAAGCTTATGTCTGAGGAAACCACCAGAGAGAAGAGAAAATCCTGCACAGGAACTCTTGGAAAGGGATTGCACCATAACGGCTAGCGCTGTGGCATTTAATCTCCTCTGATTGCCCTCTCACTGTGCATGCATCAGTCAATATTTTAGCAGCTCCGCAAATAAATGGACTTGAATGCCATCTTCTACATAAAGCAGAGGTTGAAGGGCTCCCCTGAACCTCCTGGCTGCCTGTCAGTGGTGTAGGTTTTCGGTGCACTTACTCCAGTCCTGATCACTCATGTAATTAGATCAGGCTGCCATGGCAACAGACAGTGTTCCTCGTCCATTCAGGTGGGTTTGTCTTGTGCCTGAACTACTCCAAGTGTTTTATGCACAGCATTTATGCTGCCCAAGCCAGACGAGAGACTCCACTATTTCAATTGCATCTTCTTTCAGTCATTTGGATGGGAGACACTGAATGAGGCTTCTAGCTACTCAACTTTTATAAAGGAGACCAACAAGCTGTTCTTCCTAGGTGCAGTATGTAAATGCATCTCCCCAGACAGTGAAAGGAGCCTGACAATCCTGCTGGTGTTTATTGTGAACAGATCAACAAGTATTTGGTACTTGTTAGAAACCTTTCAGAGCTCACTAAAGCAACATTTCTTTTGCAGTCTGGTGCCTTTGGCCTTGCAGTCAGTCACTTAACCCTTTCAAGTGTGAAGAGCGTTCATCATTTGGAACCTCCATTGCCCATAGCGATGGCTGGATTTCTAAAGGGTTTACTCAGGGGAATAACTTATTCGGAAAATATATTCCCATTGTCACATTTTAAAACTTGACAGCCATCATAACAAAAACTGGTACTGACAGTAGGCAGACATTCTGAATGTATTCATTCTTAATTTGGATCTATTGGCTGTGATTTGAATGATCTTTGGTAGTAAGTTAAAAGGATTTTTTTTTCCTTAGCTAAGCGAGAAACGATAGAGGCCTATAGCTAGAGGACTGATAGTGCATGGTGCTTTTGGACAATAAACATGTACTTTATTTTAGGATGTAATTTAGTGAGCAGTTAGAAAGCAGTATTCTAGTCTTTGCATTAGGGCACCACTGATAAAGCTGGCTAAGCAAAGAGAAATAATATTATGGCAAAAAGGAAAAAAGGAAAAGTTGCTTTAGTTGCTGAAGCTCTGTGCTGCTCAGGCAATCCAACTAAGTGGGGCAGGGGGCGGGCGGGGGGGAGTATTTTCATAACCCTGGTATTTGAAAGAAAAGATAATTGAGAATTATGTCTTGATTTAGTTGTGACTGCCAGTCAGTTTACAATTTTATGGCCAACAAAGCTAAACTGGTAAATTTTTTCCCCCAGGGCTAGGATTGAGAGAGCTACTCAACTCTATTCCCAGGGGGTTTATGAGTTTTTACCGTTTTGTGAGTTTATGTGGTTGGTAAATTCATTGTGGCCTGGTCAGATGAAGCACTGCTGTAGTTAAAATGAGCTATTATTTCTTCTAGCTACTCAACTTTTATAAGGTGGTAAATAGATGGGAAGCAAGGATGTCAATATTACACAATGCCTTGGAGGTCCTGGATTCTATTTTGCAACATATAGAAAAATGCTTTACTTGCAGTAAAATGTGAACATATATTTTTCAGTGCACAAATAAATTCATGTGAAAATAAGTATAAAAAAATGTACCTGGTGGGAACCGCCAAAGGCAATATTTTTCCTTGCGGATTTCGTTTTAAGAGGGTTTGGTAAACAGAAGTGACACTTTGTCAAAAATGTTACGACTAGACTTCAGGACTTCTGAATTGTCTTTTACACTTAGAGGAAGATTAAACAGAAACTCTTTAGCCACAAGATTACATGTCAAATGCCTGTAAGTTTCAACATACCTAAGTCAGTTGCCTAGGAGTCCTGGGAAAGGCCAGTGCTGAGATTATTGAAATATTAGTAAACATTACTATGACTCCTGTTTTTGTTGTCATTATGGAGTCCAAGGACGCACATTTCTTTGAATAATGTTGTGCCTTTATTGTTTTTCATTCTGAAATGTCAAGTGGATTTTACTTTTTTGCACATACCTTGAGTGACAGTTTCTGATGACTAACACTAACACTCATTTTGTTTCCTATTAAAAGTTAAGCAATAAACATATTTTACTAAAATTCTGAAACTCACGTAAGTAGGTAAATGTGGGAGTGAATGTTAATTCTTTAAACTGTAGTTATCTGAAAATAACACATAGATTAGGATCTGAACAGCTTAAATACTTGCATCGGTAAAGTGACAATAGTGAAGTAAGACAGGCTATTATTTTTAGGGGAGAGATAGATTATTTGACTTTCCTTGCTCTGTATTTTCAGAGTAATTCAATAGTTCGAATGATTAGTTTCTGTGAGAGATTTAGATCTGTGCAGCTTAATTGCTTCAAATAACAGATTTAGTTCTGGTCATACTTCCAAGGTTATCAGAAGCAGGCCCTCCTTATTTTGATAAAAGCATTGAAAGCAATACATTGTAGAAATGGTAATAGAAATAATAATTTCTGTTTTAGGACCTTACATATAGAACTTCCTTTTCTAAGATAAGAATTTTAAGTCATCAATTATGTTCACATTTTATTTTCATGTAATTTAGTTTAATAAAATAAATGTACTCATTCAAAATTTTTTTAAGAAGTGATATACAGTGTCAGTTTTACAGAATTTTTTAAATGTTGGCTGAAAGAACGGTAATTACATTGAGATTTTTAAAAATATATAAATGCTTAAAATTACAGAAGTAATAAAAAGAATGGTTTTAGACAAATCTTATGGAAAGTTTTTTATTTTATTCTTTTATAATTATATTTATGGATATTTGTCTTTATTAGTGTAGTAATATATTTTATAACGCTCATAATTTGAACTTTCAGGCTAATGTACTATAAATATTTGTATTACGCATTACTACCATCCCAAATGTACCAAAACACGTTTAGAGAGAACAATTATGGACAAAAAAGCAACAAGCATTATATTTTGTTTGACATATTTCATGTTAGCAGAAATGTTTCATTGATTTTTCTGTAACTTTTAATGCATCCCATTTGTGGAGTAATGAAAATGTAATGATAATTGCCACAATGTAAGCAAAAATTGTATCCTACCTGAAAATTACTTTCCAGAAAATTCATGGTAGTGTACTCAGAATTTGAGACTCAAGAGGGCAGAGGTTTCCCCGATTGTGATGTTTTGATTTGGGCTAAGAGGAACTCTTTTTTTTTTTTTTTACACTTAGGTGCCCTTTAACATGACAAGTTTTGAATGAGTTAGGTAGCAGAAGTTTTTCGTGACAGTTATTGTAGCTACTAACCTATAGCATCTATCCTTCTAACGTTCAAAGAAAATATATTTTTCTGTCACTGTGTATGGCAAACTTTATTTTCTTGTGCCCTTAATTTTGTTCCCCTTTCTCACATTATCTCCTGGTACTTACTGACCATTACCTCAGTTTTGTTTAGGCCGTCTTTCTTGTTAATCTTCCAATATTAATAGTATTGTATTATGTTGCTCTGCTGGGTTTTAAAAATATTGAGTATTCCATTTTTGGTGTATATTATTGTATAAAATGTCCTATAAATTATTTTCTGGTATATTATTTTGTAAGTTTTTGCAGTGAATACGTGCTGCCTTGCTTGTATTCTTGCCTTCTTCCCTCTGATGGAATACAAGTTATGTAAACTCTCTGTATTATCCTAACTAGTGCAGCAACACAAATACTTTTGAAATAAGAAAGCATACTCATGCAAGAGTAAAGTAATCTTCTATGGCATTTACATCATGTTTGACCCTCCTCTGCACTTCAGCAAACTAGGAGGAGGTTGTAACTTGGACTCTATAAAACCTTATCTGCCAGGTGATATGTAAACAGGATTGTGTGCACACACATTGTCATATAGGCAAACACTCTCCCAACTGGTGAGCTCATAAAAAGCACTGTCTGTAAATTTATGGTACCTGCACCTCATTTGAGAATCAAGTATTTTGATGCTTAATTTGAGATGACATCATGATCCTCCCTCCCTGCTTCCTCATCCTTAAAGAAGTACTAAGATTAAATAGAATTTTGTCAACTTCTACTTAACTTGGCCATTATTTATATTTGTAACTCAACAGGCTTCTTGGTGGAGGGACTGTGCCTTCTAAAGATCTGAAAGACCTTATAGTGTATAACAGCTTACCTTCCTTCTCTGTACGCACAGATCACATGTGGGGAAACCAAGGACTACAAGAATTCCTTCTTTTGCATATCAGTCCTCGGCAGGCAATCAATGCTTAAATAAATGCTTGGTGAATGGATTAGTTAGAAGTAAGAACATTTTGGCTACTGTTCATTACTTTGAAAAGTGCTGGAAAGAAGTGGAAGTTATTTTCCTTTCCAGCTGGGCTGTGCTCTTAAAAATAGTGAGTGTGTATGGATGAAAATAATCATGAGTACCGAGATGTGTTGCCATGTACCCAAGGATAATTGGCTCACTTACCTGTTTACGGATTATTCACATTGGAGATCATATTCATAGCTCCAGAATAGTTTCTTTCTGACATCCAATATAAACCTGGGCCTCCTTCTTCCTACTGTTACCTGGCGTGAGCTTAGGAAACCCAAACTAAGTTTAAAATCAGCCTAAGCAAATGTGCAGATCAGCTCCAGTAATCAAAGACTGAAAATCAGTCCAGCATTCACTAGTTTGGGGATGATTTTATAGTAACCCTGCTACTGATTTTAAAAAAATTTTTTTTTCTGTTTAATGTGGATAATTGGTAATTACCGGTATTTAAGAATATAATTTTAATGGATAGGGCTAAAAAAATACGTTAGCAGATCGAGTCCTCAACTTCTTCCGTTTCTATGCATAGGTTTTACCTCACAAAAACTACTACAAGCACCAAGCTCCCTGATGGAAAGGTATATGGAAGATTCATTCATTCTTTCTTTCATTCATCCATTCACACATTCACTCATTCATCATACAATGGAAAATTTTTACTTAACCATGTGCAAGGAATTGTGGCAAAATGAAAATGAGATGTACATTCAGTATTTAAATAAAGTTTAGTGGAAAGTTTAGTGAATATAAATGCACACTTTACACTTTTTTTCTGCATTTTTTCCTTTCTTCTATTCCATTGGACTGGTATGCTAATAGCTGTGCACTTTCATCATTGTGTTTCAAGTTGCATGTTGATAGATAATATATGCCACATTAAAATTAGGCTTTGGCTCAATTACTATTCAATCCATGCCCATTTTCACCTGATACTCCTTGTAGTTACCAGCATGTGTTTATCAGATGATTGGCTAGAATCATTGGAGAAAAGAATGACAGCGGCTGGCTCAAATGGGGAGACCATCCTCTTAATTTGATGGAAGGGATGACCTTTTTGTATGTTGGCCTCCCTCTGAGCCTTGTTGAGTAAAACCAGACCTGCCTTTTGAGCTGGCTGGGATCTGTGTAATTCTCATACAACAGAATGCCGAATGTGATGTTCTTAAAATTTGTATTTCGGTGCATAGACACTTAAGGTGGACTTATTTTTTAAAGCAGTCTATTCTGTTTTTCATTTTGGATTTCCTCTCCTGCACTCCCTCGACCATTGCAGGAGCATCGTGCATCAAGTCACCAGGGTGGTCCATTCAAGCTGCAGATTTGTTTGTCATCCTTGTACAGCAATCTCCTCCTCCACTGCCACTACAGGGAAGTGCATCACATGTCAGGTGAGAGTTTTGCGATGCTCTCTGTTTTCCATCTGAGGATAAAGTCCTGACCTGGAAAATTGCCTCCTAGCCATGCTCCCTTACTTTGTTGGCTGTTGAATATCATTTTCTTTGCAAACTCTGTTTGGGCATAGTGTGGGAAGTTGAGAAATTGCCAAGATTGTTTTTTAAAACTTCGATTAAAGTATCTATCTATTTGGTTTAATCTATATGTTCATGAAGACTTTCATTTGACTTTGCGATGATTGATAATTGCCAATTGGGGCTTGAACCTCATCATTTTAATTGTCAGTTTTCCTTAATACAATTAAGAATGCTATGCTACCAGATATCTTAAGTCACAGTTTTTGCATTTTAGATTACTGTTGTAGTATAATATGTGCGTAGCAAAACAGAGACCTATTTGTTTAGGGGAACCAGTATTTGTTGAATCTTGAATTTCTTTGTGTCTGTTTGGATTTTACAACTTCCTGATTTTCCCACGTACAGTAAGTTTTTCTGGCCTGGAGAGTCATGCAGACATAGGGTGTATGCAATGGTGATGACTCATGGTTCTCTATTGAAGAAAGGGCCAGAGGATATTGCCTCAAATTAAATCAGGAAGGAAAAAGAGGTTTGCTAGAACTTGGGGCAGTAAGGGCTTGGGAACACAAGGGTTTGAGTGTATGTAACCAAGGGAGATTGTGAAATAGAAAATAGGGGATCAATTTCTATTTGCCTTGGAAATGGACCTGCTTGAAACTGTGAAGACAGACTAGATTAGAGGTTCCCAAGCCTGGCTAGGCAACAGAATCACCTGGAGAGCTTAAAAAAATAGAATTTGGAGCTCCACCCTAGACTTGATGAATCAGAATGTTTCCTGCTGGAATCATTGATCTGTCTAGGCACTGATGCTCCACAGGTTTGGGAACCCCTGGGTCGGCCGGTCTTCCAGCAACTCTTCCTAAGTTATGTTCTGTAGACTTAGTTGGTGAGAAGCTCATTCTACTTTTAGCAAATCTCCCATTTGAAAATTTGAATTTTCAAAACTCATTTTTCAAGAGGTAGATGGATATTTGCTTTATAACAGGTTCATTTAAACAATAATTGACCAGATTTCTTTGAAGAAAGAGCTGCCTCTTTACCGTAAGAGCCAATTTTTAAGTTACATATAAATTCTCTGGCATCTTAGATAAGAGCATGGAGCTCCGTAATCAACCCATCTGGACTTAAGATCTGGAGCTGCCACTATGACCTTGAGTAGTCCTATGTCCTTTCAATGCCTCAGTTTATTCATGTATAAGATGGAGGTAATATTAGAACTTTCTTATAGGGCTGCTGTGAGGATGGACTGGAGTAAAATAGTAGATATACTGTGGGTAGAATAGTACCTGGTGTATGGTTTGTATCTTTTAACAGATGCTATCAAGTAACTTATCCCTCAACAGGTTGATTGTTATGGTCATGTTTTATGATGGTTGCTCCTGAACCATACATGACTAGAAATATGTAAATATACCTGGACCTTGGTCTTTGGACCCACCCTGTAGACATCTACGGCTCTGCAAAGCCAAGGAGCCTTTTATTTGTTTTTGCTGAATTTTAAATTCTGAATTTATCACAACTCTCTGACTGATGGGATGCATGTGTGGTTTTTTTTTTTTTAGATTGTTGTAAAATGAACTGATGAATTGCATGCATAAATGTGGTTATTTGTGGTCTGAGTAAAAATAAACAAAAACCTGAGTGACTGAAGTATTATGCCTCAGGAAAAACAGCCAAAAAAGTCCCAGTGGGGGACAAGGTGGAGGAGGGAAGAGTCATCACAGACACGATACTCTTGTAAAATATGGAACTGGATTCCTTACATTTTATTGGCTGTGGATTAGAGAGGTGTTCTTTAAGTGGAAATGTAACCTAAAGTTACATGCAAAGGTAAGCCTCTTAAGATCTACAAGTGTCAGCTGAATGAAAAAGGTAGGGTGGGCCAGGCACAGTGGCTCATGCCTTTAATCCCAGCACTTTGGGAGGCTGAGGTGGGTGAATCACTTGAGGTCAGGAGTTTGAGACCAGCCTGGCCAACATGATGAAATCCTGTCTCTACTAAAAATATAAAAATTAGCCAGGCATTGTGGCAGGTTCCTGTAATCCCAGCTACTTGGGACACTGAGGCAGGAGAATCGCTTGAATCCTGGAGGCAGAGGTTGCAGTGAGCCCAGGTCTCGCCACTGCACTCCAGCCTGGGCGACAGAGTGAGACTCCATCTCAAAAAAAAAAAAAAAAAAGAGAGGAAAGAAAAGAAAAAGGTAGAGTGTCTTACTGCTACTTTATCTCTTAGGGATGATACTCATTTTAACGGTTATGTGCTAGGCTGAAAATCCTCACATTTAGATCTTTGGGGAAATAGTTTAATTGCAAATGGGTTGAGTACACGTGCATTTTTTTTAACCTGTGGTGTTGAAAGGGAGTCATTTGTGATAACAGAAATATCTCAAGAATTTTATTGTGAAAAAACAGGCAGCAAAAAGTCATATCTCTTGGTCAATATGGGCAGCTTATTGAGAAGAGACCTAGGTTTTTATAATATGTTAGGCAAGTTTAAGTGTCTTATGAATACTAAAATACTGACGAAGTAGCGCAAAGTCACCTTGAATTTTAAGCGCTGACATTTTCTATGATTGCATTTAAAGAAAGCTTATAAGCATTATCTAAACATTTTGCATCAATAATGGCCTCATTACAGTCCTCACGATTGACGGCTCAACGTAGGCAGAAAAATAGTATCATTCATGTTGTACTCTTTTATATTCATTCAGTTTTTTTCTTAAACCTACATTATAGTTCTTTCTGGTTCTAGTTATTTTATAAATATGATACAGCTATAGCAAGTTATGACCTAACTTGTTCACAGTCACTATTTATGTAAAGAAATGATTCATTCATTTATTCATTGTGAATTTTTTTAAAACTACTGCATGGTGCTGTGGGAATGGAAGTGAATAAGAGCTACCGGAAGGCAGTTATTTTCTTCCTGGTCAGGCAGGGGAAAGAAGAAACTCTCTGAAATAATGAATACGAATAGAATGGGGTTCTAACAGTGTTCTAACAGTGAAGGAATTCAGAAGAGTGACGCTGAGTAGGAGTGATCAGGAAAGACTTTGAGGAGGAGGGATCACTTGAGTTGAGCTCTGCTGACTAGATTGCATTTCTGTGGGAAGAGATGGATGGAGCATGAGGAAGGCCATGTGTGTGTCTGGGACATAACAAGCCAATGCACGGTATGTAACTGACCAGGACATTTTGACTGAAGCCTAGGTGCTGGTGGACATCTGAATTTCTGGATTCGAGCAGACAGTAGAGAGTATGGGAATAAAACTGCCGAGAGGTCAAGTCTGAAGATAAATTTGGAGGAGTCCTTGGCATAAAAGTGATCTTTGAAATTGGGTTCTTGGGCCTGGCAAAAAGTTTGACACCCAGGAGGGGGATGACTGAATTCAGGGATGACGTCAGCTGGTGTAGAATGTGTAGAGAGAAGGTAAGAGGCAGCGGAGAGTAGCTTCAACATTGATGTGGCATGGCCTTCGTCTGCCTTCTTTTCATGATCTGGGGTGAAGGAGGCTGGGTGGCTGGAGGAGTTGGGTGATGTATGCGTGGGCCATAAGGACTCTTCTGCAGCTCAGGCACCTTGGAAACTCAGTGCTGAACTACAGTTCAATGAAATCTTGTCAAAACCTCTCTTCCTTTAAGACCTTTAAAAAAATAGGAACTTGAGCTAATTTTAGCTAAATCTAATGTGTGTGTGTATAAAAATGAATGCTGCGTTTGAAATTCAGCGTATGCGGTATCTCGTTAAACAAATGATCCTTCTATTTTCCTCTAAACAGTTTTATTAAGATTTTCAGTGAAGCCCTGTACGTTTTAACAACAATTCCAGCATTTCTTTGATCTTTTCTACCGTTGATTTATTCATCTCACATGATATGCGTAAATCACAATGTGCCATCTACTTGACTCTGTAGCAATTGTTCATTTGTGGCAATTCATTTACTGTACTTTGATAAACCACATTAATTTGGGTGTGTTTTGTAACTTTAGAGGATTCCCTGGAGGCTTTCTGCAGACTCTTTAAAATGTGAGATGTGTGTGTTTTTGTGCGTGCGTGTATACTGTATATACCTAGCTACTAGACACAGCTCTTTGAACAATTTGGCTTCCCATTTATACTTTATAGAAAATAAAGAGATATAGAATTGGTGAATCTTGGGTCTGGGGAGAAAGTTAGTCTAAGACTTCCTGATGTAAAGTGAAAGAGAAGGCTGGAGATGATGTTACGATGATGTTAGTGAGCAGTCTGATTTAATGTAATGAGAGAAAATTTGAGGATTAAGTTGTGGTTTTTTTTTTTGGTGCTGAGTTAGTTAGGATGGGCTCTCTGTGTAGCCCAAAAGGGCTCAGAATAAAAGCAGTGACTTATTTAACTTTCATCAAAGACAAGAAGGTTAAGACAGGAACAAGAGGGATGGAGCAAACAACTCCAGGGGCAGATCGTTCTTGTCTGCAATTATTTAATGAGCATCTAATGTATGAGACGCATTATGCCAACAAGGCCCTCTAGGGAATATGGAGATGATCAATAGTTCACATTTACTATTCTGCATATTAACTTATTGAATCCTCATTACAGTCCTTTGAGGTAGGCATCATTATTTTCTCCATTGCACAGGCGAGGAAACTGTGGCACAGAGAGGGTGAATAATTTCCCCAAGGTTTCCCAGCTGTTAAGTGATAGAATCGTGCTTGGATCCCAGTCTACACTCTCAGCCCTGTTCCTTAAGCCCTGTCCTTAAGAAGCTTACAGTCGAGTGCATAAGGCAAGGCATGGCTTGGAGTAATATTTAAAGAGCCATGACACAGGTAACACAGTCTAGGAAGTCAGGATCAAGGAAGGGTCCTTCCTTGGAGCCTTCTCTTTTGATGCCTGCCTGTCTGTTCAGTCACATATGAGCTTTCTGACACAGGCTGTCCCATGCAGGCTTTGTGGTGTTTTCTCCCTTTCTTTCACTCTTACTCATATCTCCTTGAGATTCCTATGCACTTTCAATAATTATTAATTGAAGAAAATGATGACAGTGGCAATTTGCTTATCCGTTTCAGGGGATTGGCTTAAGTTGGATCCAAATGTTATTCAGCATCAAGAGTCTCAGCGAGATGATGAACTTTTGACTCTTAAAAGAACTTCACTGGGTCATTGCTCAGCTTGCAAGATTTGGCAGATATGAACTATTTGTCTCTCCAGTGTGATAGGTGGTGGTGTGGCGCTGAACGCAAGCTCTAAGAATAAAACGTGCAGCAAAAGGAGGTCACGCTTTAGTCAGGGTGGCCATAAGGAAGCTTAGAACTCACATCCCCTCTGCCCCTGCCTCGCCCAGTCTCATTTTCTCTCCTTCACTAGAACAGTGAATGAATCTGAGCTCATTCATGTCAAGATGATAGAGAAGAAAGATCACTTTCTCTTAGCTGGCTTAGGGAAGGCCAGATTGTCTTTCTTACACTGAGTGAAAAATTACTGAGGACTTTTGTTTTTTTTTTTTTTGGTCTTCAAGGCAACATCTCTTGCTTTTACAGACCCACGGAAATCGAGAAGAGGATGCAAGATTTACTATTCGTGCCCTAGCCTGGCAGCTTCAGCCTACATCACAGCTGTAATCATATGTGATGCATTTTTATTTACAGATTAGTAGGCTCTGACTCTGACATATGACTAACCGGGAAGCTCCTCCCTGTAACAGTTGTATGTCGTCTGCTTCAGAGAACTAATTGCTTGGCAATTCCCCTTTGGTAATTCCCTCTTTATTTTCTGATGAGTTACTTAACAGCGATGGGCTTGTTGAGCAGAGCGTGGAGTTTAATGTGTGCTCCAGAAACTCCACTGTAGGCCTGGGGGATATGTTTTTCGAGTTCTGTTTAGCTTTACTGAAGGAACAGTGAAACCATTATATGGCCTGTTAATATTTCACTCAATACCAGATTAAACACCGAGCAGCGTGCAGTTTTCCAAAAGAAATCAAAACCAGGCTTCTTTTTAAAATGTGCCCCTGTGCATTAGAAAATTATTAAAAAGGAATTTAATATGTATAGAATGTTTAATGATCTTTTGAAAATATGGTTTCAAATGGAGTAGTCTTCCAGGACCCTACAGAGTGAGTATGGTGTGCTGTTGGACTGGTAGTTTGGAGGCTCAGTTTCTGTTGCCTGCCCTGCAACAGGATGACTTGTGCTACTCACTGTACCTTGCTGGGTCTCAGTTTTCCTGTCTCCAAAACACAAGGAGGTTGAAAGAAATGATCTCTCGGGACTCTTCTATCTCTGACATTGTACAGTTCCATGAATAGATTTTATTGTAATTCTTGCTCCCGGCTCCCCCAAGACCTTTGCTTCTGTCAAACATCATTTGCTGTTGTTTGACTTTGTTAGATTTTGTATTTAATTAGAATTTATATTTTAGCTATTATTATGTCATTATTTATAGAGTAAGTCATAAGCGGTGCCTAAATTCATTTATCACCCCATCTATATTAGTTTCATACCTGAATACTTCCTCCGCTCCTTTTTACTGTTCTTGCTACCATGTCCCAAACAACATCCATTTCTGGAGGTGGAATGCAGTATAACTGGAAAGAATCTTTCAGCTGATTGTGGGATTATTTTTTGCAAGAGGAGTGCAGAAGCTCTGCTTTTCTAAGCAGTAATATCAAGGGCCATATTCTGCTTTTAATTTGCAAGTAGAAATCGTTTTGATGTCATTTGGTTTTACCTGCAGGTGCAGGTTTTAGTCTCTAGGTAATTCCTTTTCTCTTCTGCGTCAACTTTCCCAATTAGTGTGTGCAGCATTGCCTTGTCTTTTTGGTTAATTCATAAGCAGTTCATACAGATGCCTCTTGATTCATTGCAATTATTAATAGTTTCTTTAGGCAGCTAGTGCAAATAGAAAAGGTGACATTTGAGAGGGTTTGTTGTTTTAATTTATTTGTTTCATAGACAGAGAGGGAGGGTGAAAATGAAGGCTTTAAAGTCAGGGAGATTGAGGCTTGAATCCTTCTGGCTCTGGCTCCTGGCTTTGTGGTCCAGGTCACATTCCTTAAATCTGTGATCCTCAATTTCCTCATCTGTTGAATGGGGATGATAATATCACCTAACTCACAGAATCACTGGAAAGATTAAATGTGCACTCACTCTCTAGATGTTGCTTATGGTAGTATCTCAATAACTAATAAAAACAGACACACACACACACACACACACACACACACACACACACACGGAAGGCATAGCATTTAAGAGCTGAATAAAAAAAGCAAGAACAAAGGAAAGTGCTGCATTTGAGGTATAGTCAGGGTAGGAGGAGCTTCTCAGAGCAGCCAGTTTTAGTAGGCAGAGTTTGAATCTCAAAAGGACCTTTGAAATTTGGGAAGGACTAAGCACCCTCCACTAACCTGTCAGTGACGTTTTCTGCAGGTAGCTCTTGGGAAGGACTAAGCACCCTCCACTAACCTGGCAGTGACGTTTTCCGCAGGTAGCTCTGCTCTACAGAAAAGAGTGTTTACTACACATGACTGATAAAAATACCATGTTTTTAAACATGTATTGCCCAAACCTTACAATAATAAAGGAAAGCCAATAAAAGCAAAAGTTCCCTTTGATTCCACCATTCCAGTCCATAAATCAAGTTCATTTTTATGTGTTGTTTTTTAGTTCTTGATGATGTAACTTATATCTTTTTTTCAGTTTTGTGTTTCCCATTTAGCATAAACATTCTTAGTAACTTCAGCTATACAGTTCTCATTTGCAAGGATCACATAACATTCTATCAGGTTGTTTTATCTTAATTTTTAAGTTTCCTATCATTTTTGGACATTCGAGTTGTTTCTAATTGTTTACTGTTGTAAAGCCGCAGCGAATGTCTTTGCACACAAGTATTTACCGAGGACACACTCACATCAGAAGGCTCAATACTAAGTTAGAGGGAGCTTGCTCTGAATTGCTTTCTAAAAGGCTGTACCAATTTACATTGTTACTAATGATATAAGAATGTCTCTAGCTTCAATCTTAATAATTGTGGGACTTACTATTTTTTGGCTAATTTAATAGGCTCTTTGGTTTTAAAGTTTTCATTCCTTTGATCCCTCTCAGAGATGGAACATTTCCATCTGTGTTTATTTACTAATTGTTCTTTTTACAATTAGCAAATGGAAGTCTTGATGTTTTCTAATCTATGTATATGAGCTCTTTATATGTTCTAGATATTAATCCATTTAAAAAGTCCTATTTGCTACAGCTACTTCCCTAGTCCAGTGTCCTTTCATTTCAGTGATGATGCTTTTTGTTGTACAACGGTTCAAGTTTTTATATGATCAGCCTCTCTTTTCTTCTACTTGTACCCAGGGCCAACCTGGCAGGAATAAATGAGATTACCGCAGCTCAAATTCTGCACCAGGCTGGCGAGTGGTCCACTGGATGGCTTTGCTGGGAATAGCTCTTTCTTTCTTCTGCTCACTTTTCCCCTTGGGAACTGTTTCCTGTTGAAGTCCCAGTCTTTCTATTTCCAAGGGCCCCTTTCCCCTTCTCCCACCTGCCCCTCACTCCTTGATTCTCACCCACCCTGTGCCGGTTTCCTGGCTGTGGCATCCTCTCTGCCCAGTTCTCAACCCTCCGTTGCTGACCTGTGTGTTTCTCAGGGAGCCCTGTCCTGGGAGCAGTGGGTAGAAACATGTCTGGCAGCCTCCCTGACTAGGGCCTAGAGAGATCAGTCAGGAATCTCAGGCCTGGCCAAAGTCTAACCATTATCCAAGTCTCTGGGGTCGGGGTCTTTACAACTTCTGTCTTACATTTCTGCTACGTAGCAGGCTGCCCTGCTAAGGAATGGGCTCCTTGGCGCTGGTTTTCATCCATGTAGGAACCAGAGAGGCACGATGCTACCCTGATTCCTTTCCTGTTGTAGCTCTTCTCCGGGGATAGCTCTTCCAGTGGAAGGTTGGGAACAACTTCCTAGGGATTGAATTTTTTGAGGAAGGCTGGTCTCAAAGTGTGAGTTTTAGCTGAGTGGCTCTGCTGAGCTGGGGTGGTTTGGCATATGATATACCTCCTAAATGGCCTGTCTAGATGTATTGTTGTTCTGGTCCAACATGTTTTTCCTCTTTGAAGCCAAAATGAACATTTGTTAGTATTTGAAATCTGCTGACATCTCTGTTTTTCTTAACTCCCTCCCTGGGTTCTCATGGTCCTCAGGATAAAGTCTAGAATCCTTAGCCTGGCTCCATAGGTTTTGAGGACCTTCCTTATCTCTCCAGCCTCATCACTCACATGTTGCCCTGTATTCGTCCCACGTCGGTCCCATCGCACTTCCTCCTTCAAGTGCCATACTCTGTTTTTTGCTCCAGCCTTTAGACATGTTGTTCTTCCTCCTTAGAACCCAGCTCCTCTCTCTGCACTGTCTGGCTACCTTTCCCTCATTCTTGAAATCTCAGCTTAGAGTCTCTTCCTCACGAAGCCCTTGGACTAGGGACTATGTTATTTGCTACCTTTTCTGGGTTCCCATAGCACCCCATTCTTCCCCTTGTATAATACTTCACAACCCCTTTCCTGGCCCAGCGATAGGAGGGACTGCCCTCTTTCCAGTATGTGGCATCTAGTGAATGGGCAATACATACGGGCATTCCCCCTGTGATGCTTATGTTACAAATTGGATGTGATTCCATCTATTAATATGGACTGTGATGTATATAATTGTGGTGTGTATAATTGTGGTCAGGAACCAGCATGGGGTCCTGTGAACCACAGTGGTGGAAAAAGCTATGGCACCTGTTTGTTCCACTGGCTTTGTGCTTTGTCCATCACACAGTGAGTGAAAAGGTGACAAAAATGTGTAAGAAGCCTGTGCTAAGGAGAAAGAAAGGTCCAATGATGAATTTTCTGGAAAGAAAGCTGTACGTAATAGAGTGCTGAATTCGCTCAATCATATTTAAGTTTTATAGTACTGCACTTATAACCACACAAAACACTATTATTATTGAAATTCAATACAGGAAAAATGCTTTTGTTTTTGAACGTCTAAGACTGTCTTCCTCCTCATTGAAAAAATTCCTACTGAATTTCGATTATATGAAGATTTTTAGAAATGCAGCTATTGCATCGAATGAATAAATGAATTTGAGGTTCACGTTCTTAACATCTGTTTTCTGACTTTGATCAGTCTCCTTTAAGTGCTCTCGTGGTCATACTCTGCAACTCAGGTGAAAGTTTCTAGTGAGATAGTTATCCCAAGGAGATACTTTTATCTGGAAGAGAGTAGTTCTGAAGTTCTAAGTGAGGTTGGTTGGTTAGATTTAGGTTAAGGTACCACATGGAAAGGAGAACTGCTTAAAGGGGTAGGGTGACCATGAAACCTTCTTCTGCAAACCCTGCTCGTCAAGTATGAAACCGGTGGGGTAGGAGGTCCATCTAATCTTATCTGTGCCCTTTTGAGTTGGCCGGCCGGGTGACCATCCATCTCCTCTGGGTTGTAAATGACTTCATCTCGAAGTTGCACTGTTGGTGGTAGGTGAGGACGCCTTCTCCAGGTGGAGGGAGTGCATTTGTGGTTGATGGTGTGAGCGACCATATGTTGGACCATATGTCAGAACCTGTTAAGAGATTCTGACAGGTATGGAAATGCCTCCCATTGGAAACTGAAGCCCTGGGTCCTTTGACCGCTGCAGCACCCCCAGAGGAGAGTACCCTAAGGCCCTTTTAACCTTGCCCTGCCCTGGCAGGTTCCAAGGGGAGGCAGAAATGACTCTGGATGAATTTTGTTTTGATTATTCTTCCCCTTTTCCAGGCTCTGTGTCCAGTTCACCTCTGGAGCTGCCTGGGTCACTGCAACCCAGACTAGAGAGAAGTATGACCCCAAGTTGTGGCTTTTATTGGGAGACAGCCTTCATCTAAGGAAGTGGGAAAGAATGTGTTCCCCAGCTGCTGCCTTTCTGGTGTCTGATCTGATACTTTTCAAAAGATAGCAGTTTTGTTTGGTTTGATTTGGATTTTTTTTTTCTTTTGTAAGTGGTCATAGACCCATAAGACAAGTTTATTATTGTATTGACAGAAGAAAAAAATGCCATGGTTATTTATTTAAAAATCTCTTTCCATACAACTTTGCTTTCTATTGAGTTTGAAGGAAATATGGTGATGGCATCTAAGCCCAAATTTCGGTGTTTTATTTTGGCTTTCCTGTTCTGTTTAAGCCTCTGTAACCCCTTGAACCTTTCTCTACTCTTCAGAAGGAACAAGTTATATTTTTTTTCCATCTCAACATCGTCCAAATGAACCGTACTATTTTAACAATCTGTGTAAACAGATATAAAAGGAGGAAGACTACTTTCTTTAATTTTCCTCCCAGCGAGCTGCAAAGCTGTTTCAGTCATCCTAGTGATTAGCAGAATGTGAGTAATAAACAACATTAAAATGAAGAAACGTCTTTCTGAGTAGGACCTTGAAATGTGGGTCTCACCAGTAGTATATGAGCCTTCCTCAGACTAAACTCCATGACACAGTTCATATCATCTTTAAGTCCTGGAGGGAGGGTTTTTTAATATGTGTAAATGACCAAACACAGCTGTTGGCTGTCCTGCTGTACAGAGAACATTCGGTGACCTGAAATCGCAAAGTTTCTGTCTCTGAAGGGTGCACTTAATTTAACTTTTTGCCCTGAAGTCTCAAGAAATGAGACTTCCTTTAAAAAAAGTGTTCTTAAAACTTTCTCATTTTAAATGTCCAGGGTCTTCAAAGAGTATACTGGGAGGAAAGTCCTGTGTTTCCTGTTTCTCTTGTAGGACTAGTCAAAAGTACCCTTTCTCTTGATGGTATTCTGCAGTCTGAGCCTCTGATTTAGTAACTACAGCCTTTAAAACCACAGTTATCCAGACCATGTGCAGTGGTTAATGTGTCATGAGTCTGCCTCAGCTGATAATAGCACATCACAGAATTCAGAGTGCCTTAGATAAATTGTTTCAGTGGATAGTCATAATGACTGCTTGAGTAGAAAAGTACCCTCATTTTCTAGGGGAGAAAACAGAACCTACGAGGTTGACTGATTTACTAGATTCCAGTGGTTAGAAATACATGTAGCCTGTGCTGTAAACCTGATTTTCTGACTTGTAGTTCAGCTCTCTTCTCCATCTCCTTGTACAGCCAAGATACCCCAGAAATTATTTGCGTTTCCGAAGTTGTAGGATGAAAAGACATGTCTTTGCTTAACTGAGTTAGCCCCCTAGAACAATATTGAGATGGAGCTGGAATGGTGAAGAAATGCAAGAGTCCAATCCCTTGGGTATGTGCAATTCCCAGTTACCCCTTGAAACAGTGCTTCATTATAAATTTAGATGTTAGAGGCTGGGCATGGTGGCTCATGCCTCGAATCCCAGTGCTTTGGGAGGCCAAGGCGGTGGGATCGCCTGAGGCTAGGAGTTCAAGACCAGCCTGGGCCACAGAGTGAGACCCTGTCTCTAAAAAAAATAAATAAATAAATAAAAAATTATATGTTAGATGTTTTTATAGTGCCGGAGCCTAAACTTGATGGATAAACAGAGAATGATTTTCATTTTGCAGCCACTGCACCTTTAAAGTTGAGCTTTTTGAGGTGTATTTCCTTTAATGCACCCATGACAGCAAGGTTGAAAACATCAGGAAATCAAATTGATCTCATATATGGAATCTTGAAATTTAATGTCATCTGCTCTGAGAAGTCCTTGTGGATGGGAAGATTGTACAATCAGATCATTTCTCTGTGTAGGTATCTGCTGTCTTTCTACTAGATGTTACAGAAGAGATTAGAAGAAGCTCTTCCAGCCACCTGTGAATCAGCTTTATTCTGCTAGGCAAGAAGGAGCTGGTGCTGGACATTTGTATCTGCAAAAACCATGAGTTACTTCCCCAATAATTAAGTATCTACTGTTACAACATCTAGTGGCTAATCTTTTAGTAAAATACACTGTCCATCTCTTGGTGCCAGAAGCAATAACTATTATGAAGCCTTTTCTTTCTTTGCAGAAGTAGTTTGCTGGTGACCATATTGTTAGTTGCAGAAATACTCAGAATCTGATTCACATTTAGACTTGACAGAAGCCAGATTTTATATCTGGAAACCTCATTAGTGAAACTGCAAACAAGACAAAGGCCATCTATCTCTCTCTTAGGTGCCCTCCTCAATCTCTTTACAGCTTTTCCCCCAGGAGTCAAGGAGATACAGCCTGGCAGGGACTTTTGCTTGGTGATGGAGTAGCTAAGAATGTTTCTCTCTAACAGGTCACAGAACAGAAAGTGCTGGTGGACATCTCTTCTTGCCCCAAGATCTTCGTTGGAAGTCCCCGGGACTTGGTGTCTTTGCCGTTCAAAGTGTTTATGAACTCGCCAGGAGGCATAATGTGTCACCATTTTATTCTGGGCCACCCTAAAGGATGACACCCAGCTTCAGAGACCTCCTCTTGGACGACATCCCTGAGAATCAATGTTTTAGCTGTCCCATAGTCTGACGTCTGTTTCCGACCGCTTTTGAGCTGGCGCAGGCTTAGTCATTAATGGCCAGGACGATGTTAAATGTTCTGCCTGATTGGCTTGCAGCTACACACCTTTTGTCATTTGCAGAGCAGCAACTCCCTCTTGAGCTCTTGGGGAGTCTTTACACAAATACACTAGAAAAAAGGCACCCATCCATTTTTTTTCCATCTTGGCATTAGCTCACAGGCATAGTCCTGGGATGACCTGGAGTAGAGGCAGTGGAGGATAAATTCATCTTGCACAGACTTGTTTGTGCTAGTTCTAGCCTGTCTCTCGCCACAGATCTAGCTTTTAAATACTCAAGTGATTGGTTTTGTGTAGGAATGTGTGGATTGTTGGATTGGAAGAATTTTCTCCCTGGATTTCTAGTGTTTACATAAGCAGATACAAAAAAAATTTGATCACTGATTTAAATAGCAGGGCTTATTTTAAAAAGTTATGGGTGCTTCAAGGTGGTACAGAATAAAAATGTCAGGGTTTTTTTTTTTTTTTTTTTTAACAAGTCGTAACACAACCAAAATGTATATATTAATGTTTTGTCAGGAAAGGGTCAAAATGGAAAATTTGCAACAAAGACAAACTACAATAGAACAAGTGCAAACAGAAGCTGACAAATATATGCCCCTCGTTGGGAGTTCAGCCCATGGAATGTTATGTAGGACAAAAGGAATGGAAGAGATATTTCAGTAACATTTTGTTCTCTGTCAAAAACCTTCTGAAATATAAATCTGCTGTGTATTGGAGAATGGATACAGCAATTGATTCAAGTTGAATAGCTTTCATTTAACTAGAATATCCCACAGAAAGCAGTTCTTGTTCTGACAACCATATTTTTGCTTTCTTTCACTTAAAGAAAATTGAATTCATGTTTACATATCTTATAGGGTTGTTTTATGGACAAAGACACGGGTCAAACCCCATCACAGTGGCTAGTGTTACAACAAATAGAAACATTTCTAAATGAAATAACATTTCTAAGCCAGGGCCAGTGCCTGCAGTAATAATACTAGGTTGGTATTATGAAGCCATTTGCAACTATAAATAATTCAGTCATAGATGTGCTTTTTTTAAAATCCTGGTTTTTTAAAATTCTAGTCTTTTGCCAATACACACACCCATACACATACTTCACCTATTTGCATAATAGAGGAGGAATATGAATATGTATATAATAAAGTCACTTTATTTTGGACTTTCTGAAACAGATTACCTTTTTTCTTCTCCTCATGATGGCTCCCTGAGTTGCTTCCAATTGTTGAAATTCCATAATTACCCACAAATATGGATGTGCCCTTCTAAGGGTCTTGCCATGTCAACCAGCCCAGCTGAAAGCTAATAGCCAGTGTTAGCGGTTTAAGGAACTGAGCTTCAGAATTGAGAGCCCCCAGCAAAGGAAGTTCTGTTTTTATTCTCCATTTCTACTCTCCTCAAGGAGAAATTAGGTGTTTATTGTTTTGTTTTGTTTTTTAAATTCCCAGATCATTCTGGCATTGGTCCTGGATTCGCTGCAAATGTAATTTTTAGCAACATCTATTACTCCTGAAATATTTTGGCTCTTCGTGGCCTGTATGATTCAGTAGACTCTGAGGTTTTCCAAGTACATTAAGGACTTAAATACAGAATGTCTTAAAATTTTAGGGCTATTGATCAAGAGAAAGCTTCTCGAGGAATAAAGTTCTGTTAGGTTTTAGCCCTATTCTGCTTTCAAAATTCTTAACTGGATGCCGTCTATTTTGTTTTCTTTCTGTGTTTATAACTAATTTGCTACTTGGGTTTATTGTTTTCTTACTTAGAAACTACTTTTTTTTTTGTTTTGTAAATGCACAGCACTTAAAAATATAAAACAGTTCCAAACAGTTCCAACCTGTTCATTGTTTATACCTTGACCATCTTTTCTGTCTTATTGCTGAACCATCGCTTCTCTTTCTACTTCTCTTCTGGGATTTCATCTTGCTCAGCTAAAATTCTAGTGTGTTATTCTGAATATTATGGCTGGAGTTTCCTGACCAACTTCTTGCATCTGAGTCCATTTCCTGTGCTTAAGGCTGCTGGCATTCCATTCACTGCTCCTAGTCAAAACTGAAACTTCTCCTGCTAATGAGATTAGGCCTTACAACACTATTAATTTCTTCCTCTCTATTTCTTGCTCCATTGTTATTTCTCAGAGATGAAAATCTATTTGTCATTATGAGATTCATTTTGGCATCACTTACTAAAGTTCCCTTGGATTTTTCTGTTCTTCATACACCCTACAGCTTCAAACTGCAACAGTCATCAACTGGTCTTTGACAAATTAGTTGTCTCTACACATGGTTTACAATATTACACTAGCTGTTTAAAAATAATTAAGCTTCTTTCTGTGTTCTTTGCTGTGGGTCAGGAACTTTACTTCCTTTGCCATGCAACACAGAAGTTAATCACAAATGGGTCCTCTGAACCAAATAATTAAAAATAGAGCAAAGTTTCTGAACCAGGCGGTTGGCAGAAACGTCTGTACTTCCATCTGTGCATGGTTAGGAAAATATTTCACGATATTTAAATAGCATCAGCTTTGCTCTCTTTTGTGTGAGAGTGTGTCTGTGTGTCTATGCGTAATTCATTGCTTTGAAGGTTTGTTTGACTGTTAGATAATCATATAAAAAAAGTTACTGGCAAGGAAACAGGAAAGCAAATCCAGGTGTTTTGTGCATACATTCTTTATTTACCAGTCTCTGTGAAGGAGCAATGATCTTGCTTTTGCTTTTCTCTCTGACTGAAAGTTTTTGCCTTGTTATGTGCTGCAGAAAACTAAATAACATTGCATTTTGACTTTGAAATCTTTATGTCTCTTGATTTTCCACTTACAAATAACCTTTGCTAATGGCTTTGGGGAGCTGTTCGTATGTACCCGAAATGCTGATGAATCTATTTCAGTTTGAAGTGTGGCAGATTAGGAATTTCTGCTCTCTGGAAAGGGGATTTATACCTGGAATATGCATCAAATTCACAAACACTTTGCGATATACGTGCAGACACATGAGTGACTGGTTTTGACAGGAATTTAATCCTTCAATTGGATTTCCCTTTGTTCTTGTGAGTAATCAGTATCTCATAAAATATATTCAGTTTTGGCTAATTGTACAGCTATGATACAACTTTAAGTTTCTAAGATGTAAATTACTATGTGATATAAAGATAATTCCCCTCTAGCATTTTTCTTTTGTAACAGCCTCTTTTTACTCCTGAAAAGCTCTTTATTTTAAGGTTGATTTCATTCTACTAGGAGAACTGTTGTGTTAGATAACAACTAATGCCCAATAAATACACTGAAGGGAGATTAGGAACTGTTAAAGAAAGAACACAAAGCAAATGCCTTAATTTCGTTCTTTCAGAACGTATATATTTCCCAAAGTTGTCAGTTCCTTTATGTTTCTAAAAACTTACCAGGTAGGCATATTCTTAATACTTTGATAATAAAATTAAACACTGAAATCAAAGCTGTAGATTGAACATGCTCACATTAAGTGAAATTAAGGAGAGAGGAATACATTTCATTATTAATGTATCAGTGAATTCTGGAGTTTAGCCATGAATATCAGCTATAATCAATAACAGTTTGAGTATTTAGGCAGTTTGTAATTCATGAAATTTAAATCAGAAGGGTCTTTAAACATCTTTTTGTCTAATCTCATTTTGCATTCAATTTAATTCTATTTTTTCTCAGCCTACTATATGCAGAGTACTATGCTAGCAGGGAAAAATAATGCGGAATAAGTTGTGGCCCATGGTTTCAAACAGATTAATCTTTGATTACTCTTTGATGCTTTTTTTGTATTATTTGAGGGACAGTTTTTTTTTCTTTTTTGAGATGGAGTCTCGCACTGTTGCCTGGGCTGGAGTGCAATGGCACGATCTCAGCTCACTGCAACCTTTTAAAAAGAGTTAAGTGGATCTTCCTAATGATTATTCTTTGTCAATGTAAGATATTAGGACTTAATGTATTTTGTGAACTCTGAGTACACCTACAGGTGAGTGGTAGATATCTTCATACTTTAAATTACTGCTGGATTTTGTCTGTACCCCGAGACAGAATTTTGGTCTTCTCTTATATATAGCAGTTAATATTAATGAGGCTTCCCTGAAAGGGTTCCTGGATATTCAGATTCTTCACACTTTTCTTATAAACCATTAGATTTGTTTCCTCCATTCATTTGGGCATCTTCTAGTGACACACGGAGTGGCTCTTAAAAAAGTGGAACTTGATTGCTGATAGTTTTATTCAATAAATCATTGTTAATAAATATTTATTTGCGATCAGAAACACAAGGAGGGAGTGTACACACTCAGAAAAGCCCACAATGCAGGGAGCCTGTTCTTCTAACAATAATAATGGCTGGCTGGCATATTGAGGATTTAGGATGTGTCAGTCACTGTACTAATCACTTAATCCTCACAGTAAACCTACATAGGTCATTATTATCTCCACCTTACAGATGAGGTAACCGGGTTAGTAGCTTGCCCAAGGTCACAGAGCTAGTAAGTGGTGGGACTGGGCTTCATGCATGCCATTTTAACCTTAGACCCTGTGCTTTTAACTAATTATACTCTATTGCCTACCACCTGTGTCATTGTAGAACTTGCAAAATTATGTTCAAAAATTGTTTTTACTAAATATAAAATAAAATACAGTAAAATAGAAATACAAAAGTATATTCACAAAATAAATGTAAATTATAAAAAATAAGGGTTCAGTGAACACTCCTTTAACTCTACACCCATATTTTAAAATTACCATCAACTGGATGTCCTCTATGTGGACCTCCCCAATCTTGTCACATTCTTCCCACCTCAGAAGGAACCACTATAGAAACATGACGTTTTAAAATATTTTTAAGACTAGGCACGGTGGCTCACGTCTGTAATCCCAGCACTTTGAGAGGCCAAGGCAGGTGGATTATTTGAGGTCCATAGTTCGAGACCAGCCTGACCAACATGGTAAAATCCTGTCTTTACTAAAATACAAAAATTAGCACACGCCTGTGGTCCCCGCTACTCAGGAGGCTGAGGCAGGAGAATTGCTTGAACCTGGGAGGTCGAGGCTGCAGTGAGCTGAGATTGCACCACTACACTCCAGCCTGAGCGACAGAGTGAGACTCCATCTCAAAAAAGTATACATATATTTTTCACGAAAGTACACAAAAATGCACACCAGCCAGATCACTGTTTGTTTTCTCTCCTTTTTCTCTTCTTTTTTCCCTACTTTTTCATCTCTCATCCTTCTTCCTTCTTTTCTCGCACCATCATGGAGAACAAAGAAGAACTGGGTCAGAACAAACCTTTAAAAAGTGAAGGCGAGCGTTCCTTGCGGGGATGCCCAGTGTCATGACTAGTGTTGGGAATTCTTGGTGAGATGACAATATTTTTGCCTCACTCAAATGAGGCATGCCCTTCCAAGTAAAGCATGCTATGTTTTGTAGCAAACAGAACACCTGAGAAGGATGATTTCATATGACTGTGCCAACAGATCTCTCACAAGCTTGTCAGGTTATAATTCACAAATCTTAACTCTATAGTCTATAGACATTTTTTTTTTATATGGGGTCTCACTCTGTCGGTTGCCTAGGCTGGAGTGCAGTGGTGAGATCTTGGCTCACTGCAATCTCCGCCTCTTGGGTTCAAGCGATTCTCCTGCGTCAGCCTCCGGAGTGGCTGGGGTTTCACCATGTTGGCCAGGCTGGTTTTGAACTCCTGACCACAAGAAATCCACCTACCTTGGCCTCCCAAAGTGCTGAGATTACAGGCATGAGCCACTCCACCCAGCCAGTGGTTCTTTTTCATTTGAGATGGAGTTTTGCTCTTGTTGCCCAGGCTGGAGTGCAATGGCACGATCTTGGCTCACTGTAACCTCTCCCTCCCGGATTCAAGTGATTCTCCTGCCTCAGCCTCCCAAGTAGCTGGGATTACAGGCATATGCCACCACACCCAGCTAATTTTGTATTTTTAGTCAAGATGGGGTTTCTCCATGTTGGTCAAGCTGGTCTTGAACTCCCGACCTCGGCCTCCCAAAGTACCGGGATTATAGGTGTGAACCACCATGCCTGGCCTGTTTCTTTTTTTTTTCCAAGAGGTCAGTTCTCAGTCTGTTGTCCGAACTGGAGTGCAGTGGCATGATCACAGCTTTACTGCAGCCTTGAACCCTTGGGCTCAAGTGATCCTCCTACCTCAGCCTCCCGATTAGCTGGGACTGCCGCTGTGCACCACCACACCCAACTAATTTTTAAAATTTTTTTGTAGAGACAGGGTCTTGCTATGTTGCCAAAGCTTGTCTCGAACTCTTGGCCTCAAGCCATCCTCCCGCCTCGGCCTCCCAAAGTGTTGGGATTACAGACATGAGCTGCCGTGCCTGGCTGACTTGTGGTTCTTAATAGTGTGGCTCTTAAAATAGCAAACATTTTTGGGAACCAATGTGAGGGCACTTCATAACACAATCAAAAACCATTAAGTGGAATATGTTAAGATAATGTAACCTTGTTGTTGTCCCTTAATGCTTTAATGCAGGCTTTCAGCAAGTAGTAATACCTGGTATGGTGGGTGTAAAACTCAGAATGGGTCCCGGCATGGCAGGAATAAGAGAATTCTTTCATCGGTTGGAAAATATGTTTGAATAATTCACTACATTTAAAAAATAGGTAAAGAGGCTTTTGGTTTTGGTTGCAAATTGCACTCATCCATGGAAGTTTTTCAAGGGCCATACAATTCTGTAGATGGAGGTGGCAATTTAATGCAGTCTTAGCTGTTTAGGATTTAGAACTATGTTACTTTTAATTTACTTCCATGAAATTACAAAAACATGTAATGAAGCTAAAAAGATTTCAAAAGAAGCACATCTAGTCAAACATAAAAGTACTTAATAAGGGCATACATGTAGAAGTATATTAGTCTTTGCACATATTTACATATGTATGTTTTGGTTGCTTAATATTTTTCAAGTGCTGCATGCATTTGTATGTGTAAATACAGTGTGCACCCTTTATAGAACTAGTGTTGGGGGACTCTTTTATCAGCTATTATGATTTGGAGCTTTATCAAATGGAGTGATTTTTTTTTGTGTGTGTGTGAGATGGAGTCTCACTCTGTTACCCAGACTTGAGTGGAGTGGTGCCATCTCGGCTTATTGCAACCTCTGCCTCCTGAGTTCAAGCAATTCTCCTGCCTCAGCCTCCAAAGTAGCTGGAATTACAGGCACCCATTAGCACGCCTGGTTAATTTTTGTATTTTCAGTAGAGACGGGGTTTCACCATGTTGGCCAGGCTGGTCTCAAACTCCTGACCTCAAGTGATCCACCTGCCTCGGCCTCCTAAAGTGCTGGGATTACAGGCGTGAGCCACCACACCCGGCCGGAGTGATATTTTCCAATGGTCATGATTCTGGCCTGTAACACCAAGCAGTATAACGATGAGATTGAAGTGTGACCATGTGCGTCTGCCTATTTTTATGTTCTATCTCATCTTTTTGCTTGGAGAAAAATTATGTTGAAAGACTACAGTGTGCCTATAAAGCTTCAAATATGAAAAAAGAGCTACATATGACACTTTGTTGCAGTTAGTCCATTGTCTCAAAAACATGCTATAAAAATATGACAACTAGAAAAGTCTTGGCAAATGTAGCATGAGTGTTGCCGGTTTAAAAGCCGTGTTTGAGTACTCTAAAGTACTTTTCTGTGACAGCTATTACTATAGGAATTGGCACCAGCTAAGAAAATTTACAGTTTAATACTTTAGAGCAAATAATTGCTTAGGGTGCTTTAAATAGCACAGGAAATGTGTAGAGTGTTTACTTGACATTTGCTATATTGAACACTAATACTGAAACAGATTCTTTGACCACAGAGAATGCCAGTGTAGGAGGGGTGGGGGTAGGTGGGAGAAAGAGGCGGAGAAGGAAACGGCAATACAATTAGATAAAAATTAAATGACAAATGTACTTTTTCATGATACAGAGATATCATGGGGAAAAATGCCCATTTGTTTGATCAAGTAATCTTCTAGTGTGGTAGCAGAAAGCAAAGTACAGACAACTTCCTGGGATTAGGTTCCTCCTGCTAAAGGCTGTCTTCACCAGAAGGTCAAAGCCTTGCAGCCCTTGGTCGCTCTGGTTTATTTTTCAAGCTCCTGAAAGCAAGAGGAATGACCTCCGTTTTTATTAAAAAAAAAAAAAAAAAAAAAAAAAAAAAGAAAAGAAAAAAAAAGCCTCTCTCGTTATCTGTCTAATCTGCACATGCTTGTGATTTTTTTTTATGACGACTCTGATGCCCTCATTTCTCATTGCAGCTCAGTGCTTGTGATGTTTTTTTCCCCTGAATGCATCTTGCACTCCCAGAATCTTCTTTTCATTCTTCCCTGGCTCTGTTAATACGGGTCTTATCTTAGAACGGGGTCTAGTGCAGTTTAGTGTAGCTCTTACATGCAGAGCATTTTTTTTTTGCACAAACTGCTTCTCGTGGATTGTGATTCAGTTGCACTTAAAGGGAAAAATAGAGTATATTTTAGGCTACTAAACCTCCTTCCATTTGTAGGCATTTGAGCCAGTTATACAGTGTCTTTCAGGGAGTTTTACATGCATATGTTAATAACCAGTGGCACCTGTGATAGGTCCAGGAATGTGAAATTGTGCAACGTTAATGACATTTGTCCAAGCTTCTTCCTTCTATCTTGTCAATATGAGCTACTTTTAAATACACAAAGGAATTTTGAAAACACCAATCAAAAGTCAAAATTTCACCCTGCAGCATGGCCCGGCACCCAGAACACTCAGCAAGAGGAAGGTCTGTATTTATGGCTTTTCCACTGACTTGAAATTTGACCTGGAATAAATCATGTTTAACTTCTTTATGCTTCAATTAGCTTTTGAAAGATATGTGTGGTTGTGTTTAGCCAGTGGAAAGGCAATAACTGAAGTTCACAACGAAAGGAGAACTTGAAGGGAAATTTTGTTAGGAAAGAACAGTGGGCAAGAATACAATCTTCAGGCAGGGTGCTATTCCTAAAAAGTCTTGGTACACATGGTTCCTAAGGAAGGTGGGACATTTTCTTATAATATTCTTTCTGTATTTTGTAGAATTAAGAAATATATTATTGTACATAAATATTTTATATTACATTATATATGTATAAATACATTTATATATATATATATATATACATACTGTTTTACCCTTTAACTCCAGAAAGCTTTGCGTTCACACATCTTTTTCCCTAACTTCTACCTATAAAGGGATTTTTAGTGATAATCTTGAATTTAAATTGTAATCAAGCAGTAACAAACTTCATTTAATATGCAGACATCTAATTTTATAAAGGAAATTCCAAGTTATTGTTCATTTCCATTTATTAATTTATTTATTTTGGGACGGAGCCTCACTCACTCTGTTGCCCAGGCTGGGGTGCAATGGCACAATCTCACGTCACTGTAATGTCCATCTCCCGGGTTCAGGTGATTCTCCTGCCCCAGCCTCCTGAGTAGCTGTACAGGCGTGCACCACCATGCCCGACTAATTTTTGTATTTTTAGTAGAGATTGGGTTTCACCGTGTTGGTCAGGCTGGTCTTGAACTCCTGACCTCAAGTGATCTGCCTGCCTCAGCCTCCCAAATTGCTGGGATTACAGGCGTGCGCCATCGCGCTTGGCCAATTTTTGAAGTTTCTTTTTTTAATCTGTTGCCATCTCTGAGATGAGAGGTTTTTCATTCATTTGGGGAAAAAGGAAGAAAGGTAATCAACATTTATTGAGCACCTACTGTGTGCCAAACAGACTGCTAAGCACTTAGTCCTTAAGTACCCTACGTGACTGATGTTCAGAGGGCCATTTTCTCTGTGTCAGGAATCAGGTGGGAGGGCCAGAATCCATAGAACAAAAATATAACCGTTGCAATAGATAATTAAAAAGAGGGACCTTTTAGTTAGTGGCACCCAAAGCATCATAGTGTGGGCTGTGAGATCTCAGTAAACCAGTTGTTGGTAGGTTCCCCCAACTCAGAGACCTCCATGAGGGTTGGATGGCTGGATTGCAACATGGTGCTAAACCACATCTCCCTGGTTAAGCCATTTCAGTTATTGCCTCATTTAAGTTGCATTGCTGTAAAAGACATAGGTATGACAAGTTGCAATGCCTAAAATTCGAACGAAAGAATACAGGCTTTGAATGTTATTCAGAGCTTGACTCCGGAGTCCCAGATGCAGTTTCAGGGTGAGTAAATACAAAGCCAGCAGCTCCCAAGTTTAGATGAGAAAACATTTCAAAGAAAGCCAGCGAACGCTTATATATTTAACACAATATCCATGACTCATTTTCTCTTTGCTCTCTCAGTCCAGCCGTTATTCATTTACCGCTCACCCCACAGGAAAGCTCCTTTTGAAGTCTGCCTTTGGCTACTTTGCAAAACATATAAATATACACCTTGGGAGAATAAGGGTGAGAGAGAAAAAAGGCAGAGGTCATAATTTTTAATCCTGGTTCTGCCAATAACAAACTTTGTGACCAGATACTTTGTACAGTAAAGGAGGATGTTTTTAAAACCCATTCTCAGTTGCCAGAGAGGCAGGCAGTCATCATTCTGTAGGAAGACTTGTTTCAGGATTTCTCAGATGTCTGCTGTGTTTGGATTGCTGAGGTCCCTAAAGAACCTTCCCTTTGAGTCAGCTCGACTAGGCTTTTGGAAGTAGCCCTGGAGGTGTGATAGCACCTTAAAAATTCTTAGTAACTAGGAATAAATAGAAGGAGAATGGGAAGGAATAGAAGCTGGGTGACGGGGAAGGGAATGCCAAGCTGTCCTGCAGCTGGGATCCACACTTGGTGAAGGTTGTGCCTGCGTCCCTCATCTGTGGTTGGGTATACCAGAATTTTGATATCTCTCTAGTTCGAATACCAGCCTTGACATTTACCACCTTGGCCAAGTCCCTGAACCTATCTGTGCCTCAGTTTCTTCATCTGAAGAGTGGGGATTATAGTCAATGTAAGGACTAAGAAAATCAATATACGTAATACCCCTAGTATTCACACTTCACCTGCTATGATGATATTACCATTCTCCTTTGGAGTTTTCTAACTTATTTGTGTAGCATTTAGGGCAAAATACCAGGCATATGGGTGATGGCGTGTAGTGGAGTTGGTGAGAGGGAGACCTTGAGTTGTAGAAAGGGTGGGCAGAACCTGGTTTCTGTCCTACATCCCAGATGTTGCCCATACATATCCTGTTTGTTTCTGACCACCCTGCTTTGCTGTGAGGGTTCCCAGCCCCTCTGCCTTTACCTGTCCTCATTCTGCCCCACTGTCCATGCCCAGCATGAATCTCCACTTCTCCGGGACGGAAAGTTTTCCCCAGCTGCTTCAGCCCAAACCAACTTCCCTCCCCACTGCCCTGTGCGCACAGCTTATTTGATCATGTCATTTATTGCTTCATTTTGTGGCTTAGATGTCTTGCGTCCCAGTCAGACTCCATGTGACTGGAGGCCTTTGCCTCCTTTCAGCTCCAGGGTAGTGTGGCAGAAAGAGCAAGGAGCAGGGAGGGAAGGGACCTGCTCTCTTCTCCAGCCCTTTCTCTGTGATAAACTCAGCATGCTCCAGGCGTTTAATCTCTGTAATCCTCACAGCCTCCTCATGCAAAATGAGGGTCTAGACCAAGTGACCTCTACAGCTGCCCTTGCAGCTTCCCCATTTTAGAGTAGTAGATGGTGAATAAGTATGGCCCGAATGAATGAACAAATGTGCAGTCTCAAGTTGGTCAGTTGTGGCTTAAATTATTTTTGTGCCCACTGGCATCTCGGCTTGGTAAATGGAGGAAACGGTCTCTGACGAATTTTCACTTTCAGTAGACAGAAATTTTGTTAATTTTGATCATTTTATAGTCCGAATTTGTGGACACATTGAATTAATATTTATATTAGTAATATGTCTAAGAAGAAAAGATTTTTTATGCTAACAAATAATATAAATAATGTCACAGACTAATAACAGCTAAGAGTCAGTAATAAAGGAAATTTGTTTTTAAGCACTTTGGAAGTTCCTGTTTGCATGCATTATATGATTATATATACATAATTTGTATTACATTATTATATAAGCTCTCTTAGTCTATTCATTAAGTAATTTGATGATCATTTTGAAATTTTTTTATAAGTACTTAAGAGAGTTAAAACTATATTTCTTCTTGAAACATTGTAATTTGGACTTGTTTTCTTATTCATATTAGATGTCTTCTCTGAGCCCAGTTACTGAGTATGTAGTAACTTTTTTGTGTGTTACAATAATTGACAGAGACGGTGGTTCAAATTTTCAGCATCAAACCTCACTTTGGAATTATTTATTTCCATTTTTTCTCTTACCTACTAGTATATATGGATCCAAAATTAATTGCTTTTTTATTATATTTAATACATCTATTTGCTTTGTGGTTTTACTGATACTTGAAAATTGTAAACAATTATGAAAGATTTTGAACTTTAATCATCTTAATTTGCTTAATTAACATAATTTACTAGAGGAGAGAAAGAGAAAACAGACTTGGTTACTTATTTATGTTTGTAACCACCTTTGTATATGTAGTAACACCAGAGCAGGCACTTCATAATTGAAAAGGCTTTAGGGTAATAAGTCACTGTCTGTTTCAAACTGTGATGACTTTCTGGAAAAAATAGCTTTTGTAATATTTGTCATACTGGCCCAGATCCAGAAAGTAGTATGTTCAGTGTCTAATTGTACTCCATATGGCCTGAACTCTTGAGCAATCCATCTGAAGTAGGACCCTGTTAAGAAATTATTCTTTGTTTTTTTTTGAGATGAAGTTTCGCTCTTGTCGCCCAGGCTGGAGTGCAATGGCATGATCTTGGCTCACTGCAACCTCCACCTCCCGGCTTCAAGCGATTCTTCTGCCTCAGCCTCCTGAGTAGAGTAGCTGGGATTACAGGCACCCAGCTGTTTTTTGTCTTTTTAGTAGAGATGGAGTTTCACCGTGTTGGCCAGGCTAG